>NC_000010.11:86355216-86506731 GCF_000001405.40 Homo sapiens | reverse complement strand
TGCAACCTTAAACTCCTGGGCTTAAGTGATCCTCCTACCCCCACTTCCTGAGTAGCTAGGACTATAGGAACGTGCCACCACTCCTGGCTGATTTTCAAAATTTTTTTTTGTAGAGAGAGTCTTGCTTTGTTGCCTAGGCTGGTCTCTGACTCCTGGATGCAAGTGATCCCCCTGCTTTGGCCTGCCGCCCCTCCCACCCCAAGTGCTGGGATTACAGGCGTGAGCCACCACACGTGGCCAATATTGACATTTTAAAATATAACATGCAGTTTAGATGTCATAGTGATTTCTTTTAACTTTTTTAAATTGTAAAATAAAACAGAAAACCACACAAAAGGGTCTAGCTTAATTAATTATTAGAAGAGGAACACTCCTGTAACCATTACCTAAGTTAGGAAATAGAATTGTGCCAGCCAGTTTAGAAGTTCTTTCATGCATCACTTCCTCCTTCCTCACCCTCAAAGTATTTTGTTTGTTTGTTTGTTTGTTTTTGTTTTTGGAGATGGTCTCGCTCTGTTGCCCAGACTGGAGTACAGTAATGCAATCATGTTTCACTGCAGCCTCAATCTTCTGGGCACAGGTAATCTTCCTGCCTCAGCCTCCTGAGAAGTTGGGACCACGGGTGTGTACCATCACAGTCAGCTAATTTTTTTTGATTTTAGTAGAGACAAGGTCTTGAACTCCTGAGCTCAAGTAGTCCTCACACCTTGGCCTCCCAAAGTGTTGGTATTACTGTCATGAACCAGTGCTTCTGGCCCATAATTATTTTCTTGCTTGCAAATGCCATAATTACTTGCTGTTCATTCTCTTTTTAAAATTTTTTCTTTAATAATTTTTCTTTCTTACAAGTCCCCATTATGCCCCAGAAACTGTTCACTTTCGTATGTTTAAAAAAATACAAGAACATGCTCTTCAATAGCCAGAATATAGTGTTCCTTGTTCTTTTTGAAATTGTATTTCTATCCTACTTCCCCTTCAGAATTTTATCCTAATGATTATAGTATTTATGTTTAGTCTTTTAGTGGTCATCCTTTTCATAATTCTTGGTATAAAAATATGTATATGCATTTAAATTCAAATTTTTAAGAGCCGAGGCTGGTACAAAAATATGTATATGCATTTAAATTCAAATTTTTAAGGGCTGTGACCGGGCGCGGTGGCTCATGCCTGTAATCCTAGCACTTTGGGAGGCTGAGGTAGGCAGATCACTTGAGGTCAGGAGTTTGAGACCAGCCTGGTCAACATGGTGAAACCCCGTCTCTGCTAAAAATAAAAAAATTAGCTGGGAATGGTGACTCGCGCCTGTAGTCCCAGCTACTCAGGAGGTTGAGACAGGAGAATATCACTTGAACGTGGGAGGTGGAGACTGCACCACTGCCTTATTGACAGAGCAAGACTCTGTCTCCAAAAAAAAAAAAAAAAAAAAAAAAAGAGTTGGGCACTGTGGCTGAAGCTTGTAATCCCAGTACTTTGGGAGGCTGAGATGGGAGGATCGCCTGAGTCTAGGAGTTTGAGACCAGCCTGGGCAACATAAAAAAAACATAAAAAAATCCTGTCTCTACAGAAAAAAAAACTCTACAGCTTTTAGGAATTTTATGTGACTGTAGTGCTCTAAACTGTTTTAAAAATAATTCTGTACTACATCATGATCACAGTTATCAGTGCTTTTATTTTTTTAATCAAATGCTCTCAGAATATTTGATCAAACTTGAATGCTATAATCAAACTTGAATGCTGTATATATTAAAGATAAAATTTATTGGAAATGTATCTTTTAAGAGATGAGTGGGCTTTTTTCAGTTAGTTTATATATATATGAATGAATGTTATTGCTAAAGTATATAAAGGTTTTGGACAAAAAAGTTCTTTGGCATCAATTTTATTCCTATTTTTTGTTGTTTTTTGTTGTCAAGATGGAGCCTCGCTGTGTTGCTCAGGCTGGAGTGCGTGGCTACTCACACAGGTGTGATCATAACAGCAGCCTCAAATGAACCGCTGGCCACAGTGCCCTGGGTAGCTCTAGGTGGGACTATAAGCACGTACTGCTATGTCCCTGTTATTCCTTTTTCTTTTTTTTTTTGAGACTGAGTCTCGCTCTGTCGACGGGGCTCACTGCCACCTCTGCCTCCCAGGTTCAAGCGATTCTTCTGCCTCAGCCTCCCAAGTAGCTTGGACTACAGGTGTGTGCTACTACGCCCGGCTAATTTTTTGTATTTTTTAGTAGAGATGGGGTGTCACCGTGTTAGCTAGTCTGGTCTCGATCTCCTGACCTCGTGATCTGCCCACCTCTGCCTCCCAAAGTGCTGGGATTACAGGCGTGAGCCACCGCACCTGGCCTGATGGTTGCTTTGAGATAAAATAAATTAATAGAAAGTATTTAGAATACTACCAGGCACATACCGAGGGCTTATATAAATATAGTTCAGCTTTGTTTTACTTTGAGTTTTAATTGTGAGTGAAATTGAGTATCCTTCATAAGTTATTTAATTCATTATAGATATATATTTTAATGAATTGCTTCTTTGTGTTCTTGGCTTATTATTTATTCATTTATTTTTGAGGCAGAGTCTTGCTCTGTTGCCCAGGCTGGAGTGCAGTGGTGCTATCTCAGCTCACTACAACCTCTGCCTCCTGGGTTCAAACAATTCTTGTGCCTCAGCCTCCCAAGTAGCGAGGACGACTGGCATGTGCCACCACGCCTGGCTGGGTTTTTTTTGTCTTTTTAGTGGAGACAGGGTTTCACCATGTTGGCCACACTGGTCTCGAACTTCTGGCCTCAAGTGATCTGCCTGACTCGGCCTCCCAAAGAGCCGGCATTATAGGCCTGAGCCATTGTGCCTGGCCCCTAGCGCCATTTTCTACTGGGACATTGGACTTACTGATGTGTAAGGATTCTTGGTATATTAAGGAATTTACCTTTTGTGTTTCCCTAGCAACTAATGATAAGCATTTTTCATGTGTGTATTCTTTTTTTTTTTTGAGATGGAGTCTTGCTCTGTCACCCAGGCCGTGGTGCAGTGGTGTGATCTTGGCTCACTGCAAGCTCCGCCTTCCGGGTTCACGCCATTCTCCTGCCTCAGCCTCCCGGGTAGCTGGAACTACAGATGCCCGCCACCACGCCTGGCTCATTTTTTTGTATTTTTAGTAGAGACGGAGTTTCACTGTGTTAGCCAGGATGGTCTCAATCTCCTGACCTGATGACCCACCCGCTTCGGCCTCCCAAAGTGCTGGGATTACAGGCATGAGCCACCACACCCGGCGAAGTTTGTTTTCTTATCATGACAGCCATTCAGATATTTAAAGGCAGGTTTCATGTAATGGCAGTTTTCTTCCATCCCTGCACCAATTAAACCTTTCTAGTTGCCTCAACTGTATTTCATGGGTTATGGTCTCCAAGCCACTTTGTATCATTTGCACAGATTTCTTACAGGTTAAAGGCATTGTTTAAGTTTAGTCCTCAGCACACCGTGAGATAAACATTTGCTATTTCCACCTCAGCCTCCCAAAGTGCTGGGATTACAGGTGTGAGCCCCCGCGCCCAGCCAGTGAATTAGTTTTGTTGTTGTTGTTCTTTTAAACAGAGTCTCGCTCTTTTGCCCAGGTTGGAGTACAGTGACATGATCTTGGCTCACTGCAACCTCTGCCTCCCGGGTTCAAGCAGTTCTCCTGCCTCAGCCTCCTGAGTAGCTGGGACTACAGGCGCCCGCCACCACGCCTGGCTAATTTTTGTGTTTTTAGTAGAGACAGGGTTTCACCATGTTGGCCAGGCTGGCCTCGAACTCCTGACCTCATGATCCGCCCGCCTTGGCCTCCCAAACTGCTGGGATTACAGGCATGAGCCACCACGCCTGGCCTAGCATTTTAGTGTTTAGCAGCCACCACTAGACGTAGTGTAATATAGTTTGGTATGGGTCTTTTTTATGAAGTCTCTTTTGACTATTGATTTAATTGAGAACCTCTGCAGTCATTAGCCCCTCTGGGCCTTTTTTTCTCATCTGTGTAATGATGGGTTTGGTAAGAAATCAAAGGAAGTATCTTCATTTTCTTATAAGAGGGTAAAGGAAGTCTGTATATATTTGTGTGTATAGACTAGTATACAGTTACACAGATGTATACATTTGTGTGTTTATGTCTACAAAAATAATGTCTATTTGTATCTCCATCTCCATTAAACAGTTCAACTGTTTAATCTTCAACAAACAATTCATTGCCAGTCTTGTTTCATTTTTATCCTCACTAAAGTAAATTCAAGATGTTGTATTTGATTCATAAATATATTTTTTTAACAGATAAGGACTCCAAAAATATACAATTTTGGCATTTTTTATGTTTTGGCTTTTGAATAGACAACTTACATGCAGTATAAAATTCAAGAAGTATGAAAGTCTTTTCTTGTTCCTTATCCCTTAGTCATTCCATCTCTAAGAGCATCCATATCTGTACATAATGTAGAGCTGCCTCATTCTTTTTAACAACTGCATAGTATTCAGGTGTGTTGCTATATGGTAATTTAATTCTTTATTAATTGGTATATTGTTTATGAAAGCAAAAACCAGGAAACAGTGTTCTATTGAGTTTCTTGTTACTTATGTAATTTTGTGTTCGTGGAAAGTTATTTCTAAATACTTGTAAATGAAACTGCTGGCTTCAAGAGTAAGTCCTTTCTTTCACATGTACATTTTTAGTTTTAAAAGATATTACCAAATCTTAACCTGTTAAATTACATTAAAACCCTTTGGAGGCTGGACGTGGTGGCTCATGCCTGTGATTGTAGCACTTTGGGAGGCAGAGGCAGGACGTTTGCTTGAGCCCAGGAGTTCAAGACCAGCCTAGGCACCGTAGTGTGACCCTGTCTGTTAAATAAAAAGGGGAGTTAGGCAGGTGTGGTGGTGCACACCTGTAGTTCCAGCTGTTTGGGAGTGCTGCTCAGGAGGCTGAGGTGGGAGGATCACTTGAGGCCTGGAGGTCTCTGAAGCTGCAGTGAGCTGTGATCACACCACTGTATTCCAGTGTGGGTGACAGTGAGATCCTGTCTTGAGGGCAGGAAAACCTATTGGGTAGAATTAAAAATTATGCAGTGAATCTGTCCATGTAAAGCATCCCTCTCACCTGTATTTGATGATGCTAATTGAGATTTGTAAATAGCTTTTCTTAAATGTAGATGTATTTTGTAGAAGTAATTTTATTGTTTGGCATAGGGTATACATTTTGTCAGTGTTTTTCTACAAGTAAATGTTGAGGGAATTAATAATACCAGTTGGAATCATATTTGTATCTCATTTGGAAAGGTTGTAAAAATGTTCTGATAGTAAAAATTGAAGGCAACAAAAATGAATTCTCCACATACCAGATGAATAGGCAGGCTGAGGATTTATTACTGGCTGATATGCATAAATAGCCACTATTAGCCATTTAACTAACACACCAGAACTACTGCTAAAAATTCCCTTGAGATTATATGGCATTTAGGATTAGAAGAAAGAACAGAAATAGCTAGAGAAACCTGATCCTATGGACAGGTTTCTGGATAGAACTAGCATACCTTATGGGCAGCCCTATCCCAGATAAATAAAAACACTGGTAGAAGGTTTTTATTAACTGTTCAGTTGGTTTAGGTTTTACTAAATGATTTTTAATTTAAGCATCTTTATTTGAAAAGCCCATAATACCCCTAAGAAGGTTTGGCTGAGTCATTTACATGTCATTCTGAATGGATTCAGTTGCTTAACCCTGCTGAAATTTCTTGTGAGTTTACAATTTTAAGGGACTTGGTTGCCTGAGGAAAGGTCAGTAGAAGGCATGAGAGCTATACACTGAAAAGATAGGAGAGGAAATGTCTGATATGTAAATGTTAATTTCTTCACAACTTAAAATTATTTGCAGTTCTTCCAAGATTGATCATATACTATTGATTAACCACATATATGTTATTTATTAACTTTTATGTTGATACCACTCATGTTTTTATCCTTTGACTTATTTTTACAGATAAAGTGGAGAATTTTCATGAAGAACATGAAAAGAATAGTCACCATATTCACAAAAATGCTGATGACAGTACTAAGAAACCCAATGCAGAAACTACAGTGGCTTCTGAAATCAAGGAAACAAATGATACTTGGAACTCCCAGTTTGGGAAAAGGCCAGAATCACCATCAGAAATATCTCCAATCAAGGGATCTGTTAGAACTGGTTTGTTTGAATGGGATAATGATTTTGAAGATATCAGATCAGAAGACTGTATTTTAAGTTTGGATAGTGATCCCCTTTTGGAGATGAAGGATGACGATTTTAAAAATCGATTGGAAAATCTGAATGAAGCCATTGAGGAAGATATTGTACAAAGTGTTCTTAGGCCAACCAACTGTAGGACGTACTGTAGGGCCAATAAAACGAAATCCTCCCAAGGAGCATCAAATTTTGATAAGCTGATGGACGGCACCAGTCAGGCCTTAGCCAAAGCAAACAGTGAATCGAGTAAAGATGGCCTGAATCAGGCAAAGAAAGGGGGTGTAAGTTGTGGGACCAGTTTTAGAGGGACAGTTGGACGGACTAGAGATTACACTGTTTTACATCCATCTTGCTTGTCAGTTTGTAATGTTACCATACAGGATACTATGGAACGCAGCATGGATGAGTTCACTGCATCCACTCCTGCAGATTTGGGAGAAGCTGGTCGTCTCAGAAAAAAGGCAGATATTGCAACTTCTAAGACTACTACTAGATTTCGACCTAGTAATACTAAATCCAAAAAGGATGTTAAACTTGAATTTTTTGGTTTTGAAGATCATGAGACAGGAGGTGATGAAGGAGGTTCTGGAAGTTCTAATTACAAAATTAAGTATTTTGGCTTTGATGATCTCAGTGAAAGCGAAGATGATGAAGATGATGACTGTCAAGTAGAAAGAAAGACAAGCAAAAAAAGAACTAAAACAGCTCCATCACCCTCCTTGCAGCCTCCCCCAGAAAGCAATGATAATTCCCAGGACAGTCAGTCTGGTACTAACAATGCAGGTAAGAATTTAAAAAATATGTATAATAAGTACAATAGTTCCCCCTTACCTGCAGTTTCACTTTCTGTGGTTTCAATTACCCAAGGTCAACCATATTCTGAAAAGAGGTGAGTACAGTATAATAAGATAAAGATCCCATTCACATAACATTTATTATAGCGTATTGTTAAAATCATTGTTCTATTCTTAGTCATTGCTAATCTCTTACTGTGCTTGATTTATAAATTAAACTTTATCATAGGTATGTATACGAAAAAACATAGTATATACAGGTTTTGGTGTACTATTCCTGGTTTCAGGCATCCACTAGGAACTGGCATGTATTCCCTGTTGATGGCTGGGGGGGCTACTTTAAATGTGTTTTTCAGGCTTGAATCAACAGCTGCATAGTTTCTTCCTAGATACTCAAGTTTAGCTTGTTATATTTATTAAAAGTACCTGTTAGAACCGTAAATCACCTTATCTAAAGGTACAGCATTTCAAGTGTTAATGATCAGGTCCCAAGTTGTAAGGAACCAATTTGTAGATTGGAGAGTCTTCATATTTGAGTTTTAATTTAACCTTTAGCACTTGAGAATTTTAAAGCATATATGTGTATGGGGCAGGGACACCAAACATCGTGATGTTTCCACTTGACAAATGCAAATGCAGTGAAAACATAGATTAGATTTTGGGCCTTTGGAACTGTACTGATAACAGGTGGTTATAATGAGGGAAATACCAGAAGATTAGAATTTAAAAACTCTTTGTGGTTGGCTAAAAACTAATAAACATTCAAAACACTCTCAAACCCTCCTAAGTTGGTTTAATAAAATTGAAAAGTGCCAGGTAAGTATGCATTCCCTCTTAACTGTGGAAATTTAATTTGTGCCGAGATTGTAGACTCAGTAGTGACTAAGGGTCCTCAAGGAGTTCAGTCTCCACTGTGAGAGACAAACAAAAGAAATAGGTTAGCTCTGCCATAATTAAGTCATTACCTGACAAGGGCTTTGTGAAGTGGATTGACTATCTAGTGAGGAAGAATTTGTGAAAGCTTCTAGGATACATGGTTTCTTAACCAAATATAGTTTTTCTGGATTGGTTTACATATTAAATAAAGCTTTTTTCCTGGTAGGGCCACAGAAGTGTCATTATGGTAAATTAGAATTACAGTAGTATTTTGAAATACAAATTCTCTTGTAGAATATAAGTCATTCTTGAGATTACCTACCATTTTGCTTTATTTGGCCTGAAAATAGTTTTGCTTAATTTATTCTTCAAAACTAGACATACACAGGAGTACCCCTAGGGGCTCACCCCTGCCTCCCCCGAAAAAAAAGAAAAAAGAAATACATCCAGTGTTGTCTTTGAATCTTTTCTGGAGACTGGAAATTTGCAGCAGCCTTACTATAGTCACTTAAGATCTGGCTAGGCAGAACAGCTAGGCATTTGTTTCCTCAGTAGAATGATAAATACTGCTATACAATACCAGCGCCCTTGTCCTGCTGTAGTTTACTTATAAGCTTTTATTCTAACCTGGATAGCAAGTTATCCCCTGCAATTGAGAATCTGTGGCTGAAATTTACATCTTGTGTAATACAACTTTTAAAGATGTAAAATGTGAAATTAGACTCCCTTTGAGAAACTTGAAGTAGATGCTAAATAACATTTGAAAATTAGAGGCCATTTGGTTGATCTACCCAAAGTTGAAATTTGAGTCTTCATACCATAAGTGAAACAGCAAAAAATTTTAAGCATTGGGATAGAGAAGAGTCTTTCTATGTTTCCTATTTTGTTTCGCTTAGAAAAAGATACATATTTTTAACCAGTTGGGAAATAAACTGACTCTTTGGTTAGTTGTGTTTGAAGACCGACAAATCATTAAACTTTGTTATATTAGGTCATTTTAAATCTCTTGCCAAGGATAACTGTCCTCCTTTTCTGGTGTTTTAAATGTGGCTTTTGTAGTTGCCAGCAGGCATTCTTTGAAGGCCAACATGATTTAGTGGATTTAAAGTTCTGAAAAATGTTACAGGTAGATACGCATGATGTTTTGTGTGTGTATAAACCTTACCATTCCAGTGTCAGTATCCATGGATATCCAGCAGTTATGTGACCTCTCGGAAGTAAGAAAATTATTTTGGAAAAGATTTGATTTTTCCATTTGACATAAAATAAGACTAGAACACATACACAGCAACCAGGTTTATGATTTCTCTTGCGGGAGGGACAAGCAGGAAGGGAGAATGGCAGAATGAAACTTCTTATTCTAGGGAGTATTTTGTCAGCTCTGTGGTGCTGTGATTTCCTTTATTCTTTTCTTCCCATTTTCATTCATTCATGTATATATAATCTTGATAGGTTGTCTGGTAGGTAATTTGAAATATTAGTAAGCTAGATAGTTTTGATTACCATTTCAGAAAACTTGGATTTTACAGAGGACTTGCCTGGTGTGCCTGAAAGTGTGAAGAAGCCCATAAATAAACAAGGAGATAAATCAAAGGAAAATACCAGAAAGATTTTTAGTGGCCCCAAACGGGTAAGTAAAGCACTGTCAGTGATTTTTATTATTTATTTGTTATTGGAGGGCTCAACTCTTAATTTTTTATTTGAAAGTTACTAATAAACATCATAGCAACTGTCTTTCAAAGGATATGTGTAAGTCGTTTTTTCAGATATAACCATTTTTTAAAAAATTGTAAAATATACATATTTTTAAAACCATTCTCAAGTGTACAAGTCAGTGGCATTACTTTCACGGTGTTATGTAACCATCACAATTATCTATACCCAAAACCTTTTTATCATATCCAACAAAAACTCTGTACCCATTAACCAATAACTTCCTCCCCCACTGCACACCTAGTCAATACTATTCCACTCTGTCTCTAGGAATGTGCTTTTTCTAAGTATCTTATATAAATAGAATCATACAATATCCATCATAAACCAGATACAAAAGGACGAACATTGTATGAATCTGGTTTATTTCACTAAGCCTGATTTTTCTAAGGTTACATCTGTCTTTTACGGTATGTCAAAATTTCATTCCTTTTTATGGCTGAATAAAATTCCATTGTATGTAAGATATATATGTATATATATAAAAGAATATTCCATTGTGTGTGAGACATACACACACCACCACACCTCCATGCCTTCCACATTTTGTTTATCCATTCATCTGTTGATGGACACTTGGATTGTTTTTACCTTTTGGCTACTGTGAATAATGCTGCTGTGAAGGTTGGCATACAGATACATCTGTTTGAGTCTCTGCTTTCAGTTCTTTTGGATATATACCTAGGAGTGGATTTCCTGGGTCAGTATGGTAGGCCTATAACTTTCTGAGGAACTGCCAAACTGTTCTCTGTGGTTGTCTGCACCATTTTACATTGCTACCAGCAACATATGAGGGCCCTAGTTTCTTCGTATCCTTACCAGCACTTCTATTTTCTGTTTTTTGATAATAGCCTAATGGGTGTGAAGTGGTATCTCATTGTGGTTTGATTTGCACTTCACTAATGATTAGTGATGTTGAGCATTTTTTATGTGTTTACTGGCTATTTTTGTATCTTTGAAGAAATGTCTAAGTCCTTTGCCCAGTTTTTTTGTTTGTTTGTTTTAGATGGAGTTTCGCTCTTGTTGCCCAGGCTGGAGTGCGGTAGCACAATCTTGGCTCACTGCAACCTCCGCCTCCTGGGTTCAAGGAATTCTCCTGCCTCAGCCTCCCAAGTAGCTGGGATTACACGCATGTGACACCATGCTTGGCTAATTTTGTATTTTTAGTAGAGATGGGGTTTCATCATGTTTGTCAGGCTGGTCCCTAACTCCTGACCTCAGGTGATACACTTGCCTCGGTGTCCCAGAGTGCTGGGATTACAGGTGTGAGCCACCGTGCCCGGCCCTTTGCCCATTTTTGAATTGAGTTTTTTTGTTTTTATTGAGTTGTAGTAGTATGTTAATCCTTAGCAGTAATATGGTTTACAAATATTTTCTGCTATTTCATTAGTTGTTTTTCACTGTATTGATATTGTCCTTTGATGCAAAAACATTTTAATTTTGATGTTCAATTTGTCATTCTGTTGTCTGTGCTTTTGGTGTCATATCCAATAAATTGTTGCCAGATCCAGTGTTACATACATTTTTGTCTATGTTTTTTTCCTATAATTCATAGTTTTAGGTCGTTACGTTTAGATCGTTGTTCTATTTTAAGTTAATTTTTGTATATGGTGTAAGGTTAGGGCCAACTTTATTCCTCCTCCTCTTTTTTTTTTGAGATGGTCTCACTCTCACCCAGGCTGGAATGCAGTGGTGTGATCCCAGCTCAGTGCAGCCTTGACGTCCTCGGGCTCAGGTGATCTCCCACCTCAGACTCCTAAATAGCTGGGACTACAGGCGTGCATTATGATACCTGGCTAATTTTTGTATTTTTTGTAGAGACGTGGTTTCAGTTTGTTGCCCATGCTGGTCTTGAACTCCTAGGCTCAGGCTATCTGCCTGCCTTGGCCTCCCAAAATGTAATATGGTCCAGCATGGGTATTGAGAATAATTTGACTTCGCCTTTTTTGTAAAAAATTCCTTAAATAGCTTGTTATAGTGTTTTGTTATTTAAAGTTAAAATTAGAGGTTGCCAGTACCTTTTATTCTTGTAGATTGAATTGCTTTTAAATAACTAAAGAATGAGTGTGTTCAATTTTTATGGCCTTATTTTTCCTATTTTACCTGAAGAGCCCACTGGGGATCTTTTCAATGTAATTGTCCTATAGTTTTGCACTCCCAGGTGCTTAGGTGAGACTTTGAATTTCTAGAAAACTGTATGACTTCACAGTGATACGTAGTTGTGTTTTAATAAGCTTTTCAGGTAATTTTGGATATTCTTCTACAGTACTACCCCAAAACTCAAGAAATGGGAGTTTCTTGATGATTAGTTGCAACTTGGAATGTGAAACCGTGCCAGTAACCTTTCATACATTGCATTAAAATCTGCTGCTTTATCTTGCATTTTGAATGGGCATTTACCCATACATGCTTTGTAACATCATACACTGGTCACTTGCAAAA
The DNA here is from genome assembly GCF_000001405.40 of Homo sapiens. Lineage (NCBI taxonomy): Eukaryota > Metazoa > Chordata > Mammalia > Primates > Hominidae > Homo > Homo sapiens. The sequence continues at coordinate 86,494,675 of NC_000010.11, read as the reverse complement.
TACTGGTTACGATGAATTATGCAAATCTTTCAAATGATGACACATTTCATTATACAGTATCGAAAAACCATGTTAATACCACTGCCAAACTCAGAAAAGTTTGTAAGTACTGGGAACCTATCAAGTTCACAGTGGTAGATACAAGTTCTCTAAAATTTGTTTTTGCTTAAAAGTTCAATTTTTTTTTATTGGAAGCAAATACTTCAAGGAAAACAACTGATGGTAACAGATTTACTCTTTGTTTTCGAGAAAATGCCTGCCACATTCCCACGTTTGAATCAGCATAGTTTGTCGATCTTTCCAGTAAAGATGATGTTTGAGAAAAAAGTAGCTAGTTTGGCTTGCAACTTAAACAGTGGTGGTTTTTTCTCCATACAACCACTGTACTTTGCATGCAGCAGAAGTGTTTTATGCATACTTGTTTTGTCACAGAGATTATTAGTGTATTCAGGGATAGAGATTTAATAAAATTAACTATTTTTATTCCTTCATTAAGGGCTTTAAGTGAAACTGGCATTTTACTTTTTGACTGCTACATAGTATGTAGCAGTTAGAAGTCCTACCTTTATTTGTGCTAAGGCACCAGCAGTTTTACCCACCATTGCTTTTGCACCATCCATACAAATGTCAATGCATTAAAAAAGCCAGTTAACATCTTTATAAAATATTTTTTGAGGCAGAGTCTTGCTCTGTTGCCCAGGCTGGAGTGCAGTGGCGCAATCTCAGCTTACTAGAGCCTCTGCCTCCCAGGTGCAAGTGATTCTCCTGCCTTAGCCTCCTGGGTAGCTGGGACTACAGGCAAGCGCCACCATGCCTGGCTAATTTTTTGTATTTTTAGTAGAGGGAGGGTCTCATCATGTTGGCCAGGCTGGTGTCGAACTCCTGGCCTCAGGTGATCCACCTGCTTTGGCCTCCCAAAGTCCAGCGATTACAGGCGTGAGCCAATGTGCCTGGCCCCATCTCTTAAAAAAAAAAAAAAATGTAGTTGGGCATGGTGGCTTGGTTGTAGTCCAAGCTACTTGGGAGGCTGAGACAGGAAGATCACTTGAACCCAGGAGTTCAAGGCTGCAGTGAGCTATGATCACATCACTTCACTGGAGCCTGGACAACAGAGTGAGACCCTGTCTCTTAATAAATAAATAAATAAATGAAAATTTGAAATATACAGAAAATGTGAAAGAGCAGTAAGATGAGTACCCATATCCCTCTGCCTAGATTGTTTTCCAGTTAGCATTTAACCATAATTGTACATAGTCCCTTTCCTTTCTCCCTCTCTATAATATATATTTACTGTATAATACTTATATTAAGTATATGTACAGTCTTATTTGAAAGTTTATTTTATTAAATATATATATGGTCTTATTTGAAAGTAAGTTGCCTGCATTTCTTAAGAAAAAGGTCTCATACCTGTGGTTATATAACACTTAAGTCAATTCCTAGTAATTCTTTGATATAATCTGATAATCACTGTATTCAGTTTTCCCCATCTTCAAAATGTCTTTTCATATTTTTTTTCCCAAACCATAATCATTTAGTTATGTCTCTCTTAGTTTTGAACAGTACCCCCCTTTGAAAAAAATTCCCCTTGGTCCTGAATTTTTTTTTTTTTTTTGAGACGGAGTCTCACTCTGTCACCCAGGCTCGAGTGCAGTGGTGCCATCTCTGCTCACTGCAAGCTCCGCCTCCTGGATTCACGCCATTCTCCCGCCTCAGCCTCCCAAGTAGGTGGGACTATAGGCGCCCACCACCACACCCGGCTAATTTTGTTTTTGTATTTTTGGTAGAGACGGGGTTTCACAGTGTTAGCCAGGATGGTCTCTATCTCCTGACCCTCGTGATCTGCTCGCCTCGGCTTCCCAAAGTGCTGGGATTACAGGTGTGAGCCACCGCGCCCGGATGGCCCTGATGGTTTTTTAAGAGGCCAGGATATTTGTCTTACAGAAAGTTCTGCATTCAGAATTTATCTGATTGTTTCCTACTGATGTCATTTAATTTGTTGCCTCACTGCATTAAAGTACCAGAATTTAAGTCTGGAAGTTTGATTAAATTCAGGTTAGACTTTTTGGTGGGGGGCGGTGGGGAGGCTATTTCACCGGTTGCATTGTGTATGATGCTTTACATCAGAAGTCTCATGATACCTGGTTACTCCACTCTTAGCATTGTTTGACCACCTAGTTAAGGTTGTGATCACCAGCTCTCAACAAAATAAAAGTACATATCTCATTTTATAATTTAGTTAGGAAACTTCAGAGTGCTAGTCCAGTACCACGTGCATGCCCTGTTCCCCATTATTGTCTTACCTCATTTTCGTATCCATTGTTGAGCTTTGCCTACATCATTTATTGCTCGAGTTACAGAATGATGAGTTTTCTAATCGTTATTTCTTACACATTTAATAGCTGGAATTTTGTAAAGAGGAACCTTCATCTCTCCTTCTTCCCCTCTCCTTCTTCCAGCTGTCTCCATCACTATAGATTCAGTAATTTTTGCTTATTGGATAACATTTTTACTTACTGACATTATGCTAAGTCAAATAACTCAGACACAAAGAATATTAAAAACGGCATGATCTCACTTAACGTGTCAAATTAAAAATAGTTGAATATGTAGAAACAGAATAGAATGGTGGATACCAGGGATGAGGAGGGGGAGGAAATAGGGCAGTGTTGGTCAGACAGTACATACTTGCAGTTACATAGGATGAATAAATGTAGCTATCTGATGTACAGTAGGAGACCTGTAGTTAATAATATAGGACATTTGCTAAGAGAGTAGATTGTAGGTGCTCTTAACACACACACAGGGTAACTGGAAAGTGATGGATGCTTGCAGTAATCATTGTGTGTATTAAAACGTTATCTTGCATGTTAAATATATGTAATAAAAATAAATACTATTTACTAAATGTTTTATAGTTGATTTTGCTTTTTTTTTTTTTTAAGTTGAAGTTGTTTTATATTTGGCCAGTGTGAACCATTTCAAGCGGTCTCTTGTATCCTTTTGAAATAACCTGTCATCTTTGAGCACTTCCCTTGCCTTCTGTACAATAAGATGGCTCAGGCTCATCTTATAGATTCCCTGTTTTAAGTCATGGAGTCATGTGTTTTTCTAGGAACCTTGGTTCTTTTTGTGGACATTAGTACTTAGAAACCAAGATCTGAGTGCTGAGTGTGTTCATCGCATCAAGGGCCTTTCTTCAGACAGAGTTAGGAGATAATGTTGAAAAATGAACCATGCCGGGCGTGGTGGCTCACGCCTGTAATCCTAGCACTTTGGGAGGCCGAGGCGGGTGGATCACGAGGTCAGGAGAGCAAGACCATCCTGGCTAACACGGTGAAATCCCGTTTCTACTAAAAACACAAAAAATTAGCCATGTGTGGTGGCGGGCGCCTGTGGTCCCAGCTACTTGGGAGGCTGAGGCAGGAGAATGGCGCGAACCCGGGAGGCAGAGTTTGCAGTGAGCGGAGATCATGCCACTGCACTCCAGCCTGGGCAACAGAGCGAGACTCCGTCTTAAAAAAAAAAAAAAAAAAAAAGAACCATGAGTTTATGTTATTGATAGTTTCTTTTTCAAATTTATTTATGTATGTATTTATTTATTTATTTATTTAAGACAGAGTCTTGCTCTGTCACCCAGGCTGGAGTGCGGTGGCATGATCTCGGCTCACTGCAACCTCCGCCTCCTGGGTTCAAGTGCTTCTCCTGCCTCAGCCTCCAGAGTAGCTGGGATTACAGGCATGCACCACCATGCCCAGCTAATTTTTGTATTTTTAGTAGAGATGGGGTTTTTCCAGGTTAGTCAGGCTGGTCTCGAACTCCCGACCTCAGGTGATCCACCTGCCTCGGCCTCCCAAAGTGCTGGAATTACAGGTGTGAGCCACCGCGCCCGGCCTTCAAATTTAACATCACAGAATTGTATACTTATTTGCTTTATCCTACAGCATACATATATATCAAAATTATAATTCCAATAATATGAGCAATAAATATGAGTGAATTTTAATTTCTTTGTAATTGGTTTTTTCCTTAGATTTTAGTTTACTTAGGATGAACAGTTATGGTACTGTGTTAAAATTTGTTGAAATGATTTTTATACTGTCTGCTTATATGTTAATTCTATATTCAGTTGAAGTCATTTGTACCTATTTGTGTTCTGTTTTTTTAACTTAGTTATGAACTTAATGTTGGAGTAATTTCTTTGCTAGTAACATAGCTTAGAAGGCAGCAGTGTACATGTACTTGACCTGATTACAAAGGAATCTATCTGGCCTAAAGTAAATCAGGTCATGGCAACTTGAGTCAGCAGCAAACCTATTTACTGTTGATGGATGCAAAGTGATAGTGTCAGAAAATTAAGAAAATTATTGCTAATTTATAAAACAAAAAGAGCTATGGGACTGAGCTTATTTGAAAAATGTAATATGAGTAAAGCTGTGTGTGTGTATGTGTTTTTTTTTTTGAGATGGAGTCTCACTCTGTCCCCCAGGCTGGAGTGTGGCGACGCGATCTTGGCTCACTGCAACCTCTGCCTCCTAGGTACAAGCAATTCTCCTGCCTCGGCCTCCCAGGTAGCTGGGATTACAGACGTGCACCACCATGCCCGGCTAATTTTTGTATTTCTAGTAGATATGGGGTTTCACCTGTTTGCCAGGCTGATCTTGAACTGCTGACCTCAAGCGATCCGCCCACCTTGGCCTCCCAAAGTACCAAAGTTGGCCTCCCACCGTGCCAAGCCAAAACTGTGTCTTAAGCTGTGTCTTAACGTAGTAGCCTTTTTTTTTTTTTTTCAAGGCAAAACCTTTATTCATTTTAATGGTAGGCCAGTGAGAGTATCTGGATTTTCTGGCTCTCTAATCTGATTAGATTTAAGAATTCCAGTGGCCCCATTTCCAGGTGGTAAAGAGGTAGTCTGTGACTTGTAGTGGCAGGAGTTTTCCTCCTGTTCTATCACAGTTTTTCAGCCTGAGCACTATTGATATTTTGGACTGAATAATTCTTGGTTTGGAGGCTGGCCCTGTACACTGAAGGATATTCAGCAACATCCCTGGCCTCTTTCCATTAGTTGTCAATAGCACCCCCCTCTTGCCTTGTTGTTACAACCCAAAATGTCTTTGGACATTGCCAAATGTTTCCTGGGGAGTGAAATGCATCCTCCTCCCATTGCTGTATATGTATGTGTGTGTGACTTGATAGTATTTCAGATATGATGCCCATTACTCCTAAATACCTAGTTTGTACTTTCTAAAAACAAGAGCACTTTGCTTTACTGCCACAGAATACCCATCAAAACCAAAGAGTTAACATTGATGTAATCCATTGTCTAATCCACAGATCCCATTCAAATTTCAGCATTTGTCCCAGTAATGTTCTTTATAGCAAAACAACTAAACTACACCCCCATGTCTCCTAAACAAAGAACCCATGATCTAATCCAGAATCACATGTTAGTTTAGTTGTCACAAGTCTCTACTCTCCTTCAGTGTGCCATGGGATCTGTGTTTCCTGGTCTTTTCATGGTTTTTACATCTTTGGCGGAGTTAAGGCCAGTTATTTTGTCTAATGTCCCTCAGTTTGTGTTTGATACTTTCTCATGATTAGACTCAGATTAGACAGTTTTGATGGCAATACAGAGGAGATGCCATTTTCTTGCTGCATCACATCAGGTGGTACTTAATGTCAGCTTGTACCATTACTACTGATGTTAACTGATCACTTGGTTAAGATGGTATTTTTCAGGTTCGTCACCTTTCCTCATTAGACTTCACCCCCTAGTTTTGGCATTGATTGTTGCCTGAGTCAGTTTTTACAACATTGGTTGCCAAATGTGATTTCCTAATTATAGCATTTGTTCTACAGTTATTAGTATTTGGCCTTGTAGTGTTAGGTAGATATTTTCTTCCCCTCCATGTAGGTTAGAGTATATGCATGTATTTTTATATGTATTCATTTAGTTATTACAGTATGAACATGGATTTCTACTTTATTCAGTCATTTGTTACTGTATTTATTTAAATCATAGTTCTGTCATTAGTTTGATCTTCTTAGATTTAGTTGGTGGATGTTCCTTCAAGCTGGCTTTGATGTGTCCCACTATTTTGCATTTTCTTACTTACATTCTATTTTCTTTAATTTTAACGCTCTACGAATTTGTGTGTCATCCTTGTGCAGGGGTCATGCTAATCTTGGTATCGTTCCAGTTTTTGTATATGTGCTGCCGAAGCGAGCACCTTACTGACATTCTAAGATGTTCCAGGCTCATCCTATACTTTCCCAGTCCTGGAGTCAGCCATTTCTTCAAGGATTCCTGTTTGCAGTTCATGGAGAATGGTATTTAGAAATAAATACTTGTTCACTAGGTATGGTTATTTCTTCTGAAGTGTCATTGCTTCTAGGCCCTCTCTGAGTAGACAGCTAGGAAACATGTAAAAATATGCATATACTGTTTCATATACAGACACATGTCTATTTCATGGTCATTCTGTGTATGTTTAGAACCATGAGTTCACACTAATATTTCCAATACCACGTTTTATTCTAGACTTCTCATTTTCCATATTTTAATTCCCTTCGCCGAGAGAAATCTGGTTTCCATTATCCTCCACATGTGTTCTTATTTTCACAATCGTCATGTATGTAACTAGTTTCTTGACTATGCTGACCATCTTCCTCACCTTAGTTCTGCTGACATAGTCTGGCCAAGAGGTCCCCCTTCCCTCTACCTACCCCTCTACCCTGTGTTAGAAAGCATTAACTCTTTTTTTGTTTGTTTGTTTGTTTTGAGACAGAGTCTTGCTCTGTTGCCCAGGCTGGAGTGCAGTGGTGCGATCTCAGCTCACTGCAAGCTCCGCCTCCCAGGTTCACTCCATTCTCCTGCCTCAGCCTCCCAAGTAGCTGGGACTACAGGCGCCCACCACCATGCCCGGCTAATTTTTTTTTGGTATTTTTTAGTAGAGGTGGGGTTTCACCGTGTTAGCCAGGATGGTCTTGCTCTCCTGACCTCGTGATCCACCCGCCTCGGCCTCCTAAAGTGGTGGGATTACAGGCGTGAGCCACCACACCTGGCCCAGAAAGCATGAACTCTTAAGCATACGTGTCTGTGAGAATTTCCTTTAGTGTCTCCCAGGAATATAGAGTTGTTAATATCAGGATTGAGGGCTGACTCAGAAAGAAGATGAGGGTGAAGAAAACTTGTAGTAAGAACATAGTTGAAATGATGATTCAGAAAAGTTGTCACTTGCTGGTGAGAAAAAGAAAGATAGGATTTGATAAATAGGGTTGAAACATACCTGGATTTAACTACCTATTGTTTCTAGGTAAGGTTTTGATCATTGAGCAGTTCTTGGTACTTTCGTTCATGAAATGTCATCCAGTTTCTGATTTCTGGCTACAGCTTCCCTACATGCCATTATTTGTAGCTGTCATATGTGTGCTGATATACTTAGATTATTTCTTCTGCTTGCCCTGCTTGTGGTTTGACTTCTACCTTTTCATTCAGCTGCTGCCTGTCATCCCTGCTTGTAAGCATTCATTGTCTGTATAGTCAGGCTGACTGTACAGGTTTTCAGTGCTTGCGGGGTTGGTTGTGTTTTACCTGGGATGTTGGCCATCTTGTTTTGCAGTTAAGACTGCTGCTGGGTCATTGATGAAACTAACCATAACGTCAATCTCAGTTTCAATTCTCCAATATTTATACCTTTACGTTCTTTTTTTGTTGTTGAGACAGGGTTTCACTCCAGTTGCTCAGGCTGGAGTGCAATGGTGTGATCATGTCTCACTGCAGCCTCGACTTCCTGGGCTCAAGTGATTCCTGTGCTTCAGCCTCTAGGGTAGCTGGGACTATAGGCACACGCCACTGCGTCCAGCTAATTTTTTGTATTTTTTGTAGAGATGGGGTTTCACCATTTTTCCCAGGCTAGTCTCGGGCTCCTGAGTCTAGCCATCTGCCGGTCTCGGCCTCCCAAAGTGGTGGGATTACAGGCATAAGCCATCATGCCCAGCCTATACCTTTACTTTCATCATTCCCCTGTGGTTTAAAGCTAGGCCCTTCTAGCACTATCTTTTGTCTAACTCTTTAAGGAACATTCTGGACTTAATTTTTTCTTCCCATCTGTCCTTCAATATGACACTGGATAGGGGGCTTCTGGGCAATTAAAATTTATCAGTATAAATCATGGTTACATATTTAGTTGTTTTAGAATGTTGTAATTACATAAACCTGCAGTTTTAAAGTTGAATATAGCTTTATACTTTGATAAACTTCATTTTTTGTTTTATAAAATGAGTTTATACGGGTTGTCAACTTACTAGCAAAATCTTACAATTGAAGAGACTTTAAAGGACAAGTACTCCCACATCTCACCCAAGAACAAATGTTCCTTCCACACAGTGTCTTCCTTTAGCAGTTAGAACCCACTCTCATGAAATAGCATATTTTTCTGTCAGAACAGTTTTACCCAGTGTTACCTTTGTTATATGTATGGGGACTCACTGACTATCTTGAGATCCAGTCATCATGTGGTATTGTGAGATCCACTATATTCTCAAGTACTAGAAACCTGATATATTAATTGATATGAAGCCTGAAAAAAAGAATGACTGTAGCAATTGGATTGGTGATGAGGGAAACTGGCAAAAGTGTGGAAGTTAATAGCTGCTGCCATTCACTTACAGCTCCTGGGTGGGTGATCCAAAGAGTTGTTGAAGCTGAGCAGGTTCTGGCTGGGCCTAGGTATGGAAGAGAGGGAGTCGGTTTTAGTTGGCTTTTTTTCATCATTGTTTTTGTTTGGTGTTTACTACATGACTTTCACTGTGCTAGGGATACAAAAATGAATAAGAAGAGTATCTTAAAAAGGCAGAATTGTTTTTTCCTACTGGAATTTTGAGCAGTCTTAGTATTTCCTCAGTGTGTTTGTTCCAAACCAGAAGCATATTGCTTCCTTTTATATAGGTAGTATTTAACTTAAATATTAAACCAGGTAATTAAAATCATTGATCTGTATAAGTCAAAAAGGCTTAGGAAAATGTAAATTATTTTCTCTCTGTGATCCAATTCTTGTGCTTTTTTTTCCTTTAATACTTTATTCTGGAAGGATTTTAATAAGTAATGAAAGTACTGTTAATCTTTTTTTTTGTTTTGGATATGGAGTCTCGCTCTGTTGCCCAGGCTGGAGTGCAGTGGCGCAGTCTCAGCTCACTGCAATCTCTGTCTCTTGGGTTCAAGTGATTCAACTGCCTTAGCCTCTTGAGTAGCTGGGACTACAGGTGGGTGCCACCATGTCCTAGGGCTAATTTTTGTATTTTTAGTAGAGACGGGGTTTTACCATGTTGGTCTTGAACTCCTGATCTCAAGCGATCCGCCTCCCTCGGCCTCCCAATGTGCTGGGATTACAGATGTGAGCTACCGTGCCCTGCCTAATCGTATTTTCTTTAGTATAGGTGCCTTTAAAGTTTGAAAGTTCAAAGTATTTTACTCTTATTTCCCAGGAAATGAGGCTTGAAGTGAGAAAATGTGGCCAGGGGTTATCAGGAGCTGGAAAGCACTGACATCTATTTGATAGTTATAGATGGGAAGGAGGGGGGTAGGGGTTGGGGGGTGAGTGGGGGGAGATGGGAGGGACGGGGGAGGGGAGAGAGAGAGCACGAGTGAGCACACGCACATGCGTGTGTGCCTGTGTGTGTGTTAGGGTGTTTATAGTTTGGAATTTCATTTGTTTTTCCATTTTGTACTACAGTCACGCATTACTTAATGACAGGGTTACATTCTGAGAAATGCATCATTAGGCGATTTCATTGTGCACACAGAACACAAAGCTAGATGGGATAGTCTGCCACACACCTAGGCTATATGGTATAGCCTGTTGCTTCTGATATGTTGCCGTACTGAATATTGTAGGCAGTTGTAACACAGTGGTAAGTATTTGTGTATCTAAACCTAGAAAAGGTACAGTAAAAATACATATAAAAATGGTACACCTATATAGGACACTTAACCATGAATGGAGCTTGCAGGATTGCAAGTTTCTTTGGGAGTCAGTGAGTGAATGTGAAAGCTTAGGACACTACTGTAGACTTTATAAAGACTGTACACGTATGCTGCACTAAAGTTATAATAGTTTCTTCAATGATAAATTAACCTTAGCTTACTGTAATGGCTTGTTTTTTTCTTTTTGCTTTTTGTTTTGAGACAATCTCCCTCTGTCACCTAGGTTGAAGTGCAGTGGTGTGAACACTGTTCATTGCAGCCTTGACCTCCTGGGCTCAACTGATCCTCCCACCTCAGCGTCCCTAGTAGCTGGGACTACAGGTGGACATCACCACACCCTGGTGATCTTGTATTTTTTGTAGAGGTGGGGTTTCACCATGTTGTCGAGGCTGGTCTTGAACTCCTGGGCTCAAGCAATCCTCCCAGCTTGGCCTCCCAAAGTGTTGGGATTACAGACGTGAGGCACTGTGGCCAACCAGCTTACTGTAACTTTTTAACATTATAAACGTTTTAATTTGTTTAAAACTTTTTGGCTATTGTTAATAACACATAGCTTAAAACAAACACACTGTACTACTGTACAAAAATATTTTCATTCTTTATATCTTTATTCCGTAAGCTTTTTTCTATTTTTAAAATTATTTTTAATTTTACTTTAAAATCTTTTTTGTTGCCTGGGTGCGGTGGCTCACGCCTGTAATCCCGGCACTTGGGGAAGTTGAGGCAGGTGGGTCACCTGAGGTCAGGAGTTTGAGGCCAGTCTGGCCAACATGGTGAAACCCCATCTCTACTAAAAATACAGTTAGCCAGGCGTGGTGGCGGGAGCCGAGATCGCGCCACTGTACTCCAGCCTGGGCAACAGAGTGAGACTGCCAAAAAAAAAAAAAAAAAAAAAAGAAAAAAAAATTTTTTTTTTTTTTTGTTAAAAACTTAAGATACACCAGCCTAGACCTATCCAGAGTGAAGATCATAATTCTCACAGTCTTCCACCTCCACATCTTGTGCCACTGGAAGTTCTTCAAGGGCACTAACATACGTGGAGCTGTCATCTCCTATGATGCCAGCCTTCTTCTGGAATAACTCCTGAAGTACCTGTCTGAAGCGGTTTTACAATGAACTTTTTTTTGTTTTACAAGTAGAAGGAGTATATTCTAAAATGGTTAAAATATAGTAAATACATAAACCAGTAACTGCTATTGTTAATAGTCATTCATTGTCAAGTGTTACTTACTGTATCTAATTGTATGTGCTATACTCTTTTTTTTTTTTGAGATGGAGTTTTTGCTCTTGTTGTCCAGGCTGGAGTGCAGTGGTGGGATCTCAGCTTACCGCAACCTCCGCCTCGCAGGTTCAAGCAATTCTCCTGCCTCAGCCTCCAGAGTACCTGGGATTACAGGCATGCACCTCCACGCCCAGCCAATTTTGTATTTTTCATAGAGGCAGGGTTTTTCCATGTTGGTCAGGCTGGTCTCAAACTCCCGACCTCGGGTGATCCACCCACCTCGGCCTCCCAAAATGCTAGGATTACAGGCGTGAGCCACCGCACCTGGCATGTATGTACTGTACCCTTATAGGACTGGCAGCACAGTAGGTTTGTTTACAAAAGCATCACTACAAACACTCGCCTAATGCATTGTGCTAAGATGTCACTAAATGTTAGGAATTTTTCAGCTCCATTAAAATCTTATGAGACCACCGTTACATATGCAGTTTGTAATTGACCAAAACCTTGTTATGTGGTACATAACTCTGTAAAGTACATTATTATTAACTGTAGTTACCATGCTATAAGTCAGATCTCCAGAAGCTAATCATTTTATAATGGGAAGTTTCTACCCTTTGACCAAAATCCCATTTCCCCTACCTGCCAGCCCCTGGCAACCACCTTTCCACTCTTTGTTCCTATGAATTTGACTTCTTTAGTGAATCCCTACTTTTTCCCAAATGGTTTATAATCTATTACTGTATTTAATTATTTGGGGCCTAAATTTGTCCTGATTTGGCTAGTAGAGCCTCATTAAGCTGGCTGTTTGATTTGTCTGCCATGTCCCCATCATTTTGTGAAAACTTCTTTCTTCCTGGTGTAACACAGTGTTCTAGGTTCATCTTGTACCTGGTCAGCTGTAGGCTCGGGATCAGGTCCATTCTCCGAGGAGTAATGATTCTCTTTAGTGGAGAATGGTATTAGAGACTATGATAATGGGCCCTAGGTGTGTCCTTTGCTTCTTGGCGCTTTTAGCAAACGGGCATAGGAAACATGCACGTATACATATATTACATACATACATATATATTCACATACATTCACATACAAATATACCTTCACATATATATGTGGATTCATGCCTGTGTACATAAGTGATCTAGAAATCATGAATTCACACATAATCTTCAGTATCCATGCATTTTCACAGGATTATTTCTTGCCTTCTGTCTTTTTCACAGTGAGAGCCCAGGGTTCTTTCTGGCCTTATGTCTTTTTCACAGTGAACAACAGCAGCAGCACATTTACTCAACTTATATCTAAATAGGTACAGAATTGCTTTGCCCATTCCACTACAATAAGTAAATTTACAAAAATTTTCAGGAATTGTTTGGCAATTCTGCCCTTGCCCTACTCCACCCTGCCCAAGATTGAGGGTATAAAGTCAAATAATATGTTCACAAATTACTTGGGATTATTTCTGCCTGCCTGCCTCTTGACTGGTCAGTGCATTGGGTGGTTTGTCTGGCTTCTCTTCACAGTGTTTGCTGTCCATGTGAAATATGAGTAGGTTTCTTTGTTCTGGTTTGCTTTAAGTGTTGGGGTTTTCCGTTTCCATTCTTACTTTTTTTTTTTTAATGTGTACAACATTATAAAAGTCAAAACTATATAAAAAGGTAAGTTTAATGAGGTCACTTCATCTGAGATGTGTTCCAGTCTGTCACCCACCCTTGTAGGGAACCAATTTTATTGTTTTCTGCTGCTTCTTTTCTATGTTTCTTTTTTATATAAAAATAAACAGACTAAAATTTTTCAGCCCGGCGCGGTGGTTCACGCCTGTAATCCCAGCTCTTTGGGATGCCAAAGCAGGCAGATCACCTAAGGTCAGGAGTTCGAGAGCAGCCTGACCAACATGGATAAACCCCGTCTCTACTAAAAATACAAAATTAGCTGGGCGTGGTAGCACATGCCTGTAATCCCAGCTACTCGGGAGGCTGAGGCAGGAGAATCGCATGAATCTGGGAGGCGGAGGTTGCAGTGAGCCAAGATCGCGCCATTGCACTCCAGCCTGGGCAACAAGAGCGAAACGCTGTCTCAAAAAAAAATTTTTTTTTTCTTACATAAAAAGTAGCATCTATATGTCCTGTTTTGCACTGTCTCTCCTTTAAAATTTAGTAATATTTCTTGGAAATCACTATCAGTTCATGTAGATCTTCCCCAGTATATATTTTTATAATTCTAAAGATTGGTTTTAGATTTTTTTTCTTTAGTTTCTGTCTTCCTCCATTCTCTTACATGTTGACTGTTTATATCTTTTAAATTGTTTCTTTTTAACGTTGTATGTGCATAGTTTACCCACATCCAGTATTGGCAAAATTTTATACTTTCAGCATGTCCTGTTATTATTTGTTTCTAATCTCAATTTACTGTTGTTCAAAGGTGGCTTCTTAGGATCTGGTTCAGATGTTGTAAAAGAAATCCCAAATTAGTTATTAATAGATAGCTTATTTTTCTCTGGCTTACCAGTCTCTGGTTGTTTATCTCTGGACAATTTTCAAATTGCTGCAGTGTAGGGGACCCAAGTTTCCCTTGTGTGGTGGTATTCTACCATTTCTGGACTATTGATTAAGATAGAAGGAACTAGAAGGGAAGGCAATGAACCATCCCTAGAAGCCAGGACCCAGAAGGTGTACCTCACTTCTCTTCACACTTCATTGGCAAGAGCTTAGTCACATGCCCATGCAAGCATCAAGATGTTGAGAAATCTATGTGAGCATTTGTCCAGCTAAATGTTTTTAAAGGAAAATGAAGGGGAGAATGGATATTCTCTAATCACAGGTGGTGTTGTCTCAAGATATTTATAGCTTCCGGTTTTTTTATTTCTAAATTTGATAATCATCTTTCTAATACAACTTGTCATCAATATTTAATGGTATTTTTAGTTGTGAGAACTGTTATTTTAGCTGATTTTGGTCATGGCTCTCATACTAGTATCTTTTAGTTTTAATTGTTGAATTATAGGCTAAGTTATGTTCTCACAAAATGCCAACTACTGAATTTTATGGTTTTTTGCATGGACTTTTTAGAACTTATGACCAAGTTATGCTATTTCCTGGTGATATTCTGAAGTGACAGTTACCTACTTTTAATAAAACCGTGGCTACCAATTATGCTTTTGAAGTTCTACTCACAGTAGTGGTGTGCATTGTTCTTCATGAAGATAGGAATTGACAATTTTTTCATAAAAATGGCAGCTGTCTTTAAAAGTCATTACTACCTGTTGTATGCAGTTGATTCGGGCAGAGAAGAAAGACTTTGCAGCTTTATTTCTTCTCGTTAGATGTGGATTAGATTCTCTACAGTGTTTCATATTGCATATTACAATTTCTAATTCTTGATAGTACAGATGCTGTTGGTTTTAATTTAGGAGTTTCTGTAGTCTTCCTTCAAATAATTCAATACTCTGGATATTTAACATGTGTTATGTTTTTTATAGTTTAAGACCATTTGAGATTGTATGATTATGCTTAAAAGGAAGTTGTAAAGAGCTCAAAGATTCTTTGTAAGACTTTTCTTCTCCTGCTTCTGATTCCAATTGTCTTTTTTAAAGGATTTTTATAAATCCTTTAAAGAAATTTTTGACAATCCAGATCCAAATTGTTTTTTTCTACTTCCCCCTTTTGAATTGCCGCTAAAGTACTGTGCACACATACACACATAGTTATGCATTGCAGTACTTCTTCAGAGTTCATTTAGTTGTACTTCGTGCTGATTGATTGAATTACTGGTGATATCCTTGGGTGGATAAAGCTGGATGAATTCTTATCAGCTTACTATTTTGTCTTCATATAGCACATAGTTTTTAAAACGTATAAATAAATTTGCTCTTCTTGTTCATAAAGTATTTATGGCTTAAAAACATTCCTTTTTTTTGGCTGTGCGCTGTGGCTCACGCCAGTAGTCCCAGCACTTTGGGAGGCCAAGGCAGGTGGATCACCTGAGGTCAGGAGTTCAAGACCAGCCTGGCCAACATGGCAAAACCCCATCTCTACTAGAAATACAAAAATTAGCCAGGCGTGCTGGCGCTTGTAATCCCAGCTACTCGGGAGGCTGAGGCAGGAGAATCGCTTGAACCCGGGAGGCGCAGGTTACAGTGAGCCGAAATCACACCATTGCACTCCAGCCTGGGCAGTAAGAGCGAGAAACTTTGTCTCAAAAACAAAACAAAACAAGAACAAAAGAAACCCATTCCTTTTTTTCCTGGCTTTTATGAGCCAGCCCAGTGGGGGATAACATGTCATTTCCTCTTAGATTTTCAGGAAGGAATGCTTTCTTTCCTCTGTTTTTGTTGTTGTTGTTTTGTTTTTTTTGTTTGTTTTTGTTTTTTTGAGATGGAGTGTCACTCTGTCACCCAGGCTGTAGTGCAGTGGTGCAGTCTTGGCTCACTGCAACCTCCATCTCCCAAGGCTCAAGTGATTCTCCTTCCTCAGCCTCCCGGGGTAGCTGGAATTACAGATGTGTGCCACCACACCCGGCTAATTTTTTTGTATTTTTAGTAGAGATGGGGTTTCACTATGTTGGACAGCCTGGTCTCAAACTCCTGACCTCAAGTGGTCTGCCCACCTCGGCCTCCCAAAGTGCTGGGATTACAGACGTGAGCCACCACGCCCGGCCTTTTCCTCTGGTTTATAGTTGTGATTCAGTAATCCAGTCTGTTAACAACAACCTTTGTGGTGTTATTGTAAAAACCAACTTTTATCCATTGTTTTTATAGAAACTATATTATCTCTCATGAAGAAATGCCCCATCAGTTTGTCAGTGGAATATTTTTTCTTTAGCTTTAATGGAATGTCACATTTGAGGTTTTTCTTGCTTATGCCCCTGGAGCACTGAATACAAAAGAATAATATATTTAAGATTACTAGTATTGAAATATGCTAAAATGGTTCTGAATATTTAGAATGTTAGATTATTATTATGAACTTTTTGCTTATTTTGTTCTAAGTATTTTTCTCATTAATTTACCTAGCACACAGAATCCATCCTTTTTTTTTGGAGACAGGATCTCGCTCTGTCACCCAGGCTGGAGTGCAGTGGTGTGATCTTGGCTCACTGCAGCCTCCACTTCCTGGACTCAGGAGGTGATCCTCCCACCTCAGCGTCTCGAGTAGCTGGGACCACAGGCACGTGCCACCATTCCCAGCTAATTTTTGTATTTTTTGTAGAGACTGAGTTTCACCGTGTTGCACAGGCTGTCTCAAACTCCTGGGCGCAAGACATCTGTCTCCCTTGGCCTCCCAACTTGCTGGGATTATGGGTGAGAGCTACCATGCTTAGCCACAATTTTTTTTTTTTTTAATACAGAAAAAAGTTTAGGTATCTGGTTTATATGCTGTATCTGCTTTTCTTTCTTTCTTTTTTTTTTTTTTCCGAGACAGAGTTTCGCTTTTGTTGCTCAGGGTGGAGTGCAATGGCACGATCTCAGTTCACTGCAACCTCCGCCTCCCGGGTTCAAGCAATTCTCCTGCCTTAGTCTCCTGAGTAGCGGGGATTACAGGCACCTACCACCATGCGAGACGGGGTTTCACCATGTTGGCCAGGCTGGTTTCAAACTCCTGACCTCAAGTGATCCGCCCACCTTGACCTCCCAAAGTGCTAGGATTACAGGCGTGAGCCACTGCACCCGGCCTGTATCTGCTTTTCTGTTGCCCAGGCTGGAGTGCAATGGTGCAATCTTGGCTCACTGCAGCCTCTACCTTCTGGGTTCAAGCGATTCTCCTGCCTCAGCCTCCCAAGTAGCTGGGACTACAGTGCCTGCCACCACACCTGGCTAATTTTTTGTATTTAGTAGAGATGGGATTTCACCATGTTGGTTAGGCTGGTCTCCAACTCCTGACCTCAGGTGATCCACCTGTCTCGGCCTACCAAAATGCTGGGATTACAGGCATGAGTCACGGTACCTGGCCCTGTATCTGCTTTTCAAACAAGAATAAAATTAAGAAGATTAAAGACAAGCCTGGTGGTGCAATCAGAATGACTCTGTTAACATTTAGCTAGGTTGCTAAATGGTAAGGGTGATTTTTGATTTTCCATGGAAAGTTGATTGCTGTATGATACTTTTACATATATTGTACACACAATCACTTCCACTGAGTGAAATTAGCCTGTGACATACCACTGTTTTGTGCTTTACATACACAGTTCACTTAGGAGCATGTGGAATTACTGTACTGTTTTGGAATGATGTAAAGAGCTCAGTCAGTGTTCCCTTTTCTCTCTTTCCCTGTTTCTTCCTCTCCCTGCCATATGTGTATGTTAGCCATATACAGATATTACTTATTTTAATTTTTAATTAGATGTGTCTTCAATATCTCTCCTCCCATAATAAACCCTATATTAATCTTGTAAGACACTGAAATAAAAGTCAAGAAAAAGTTCTAATTGGACTACTTCCCTTTAGATTGCTTATTAGTATTAAAATGGTAAAACATCATCAAAAGCTTTAAAACTAATAGTATTACTAAATTGCCTTGTTCAACAGCATAACCAAAAGTTCCTTTAATATGACCTTTTAATATAAATTGTTCAATTATTCTGTATGCTGTTATGCTTCAAGGACTTTTGAGATGAATAGACACATCAGTTATTCCATTTGTTTATCATATTCTTTATTAGGTAGGTAGGCTATATATTTCTGTTTTCTTACGAATGTGTTAGACTTAAACCTAGCAGCACATCATCACATAACAATTAATAATAACATTTAATACTTACAAAGCACTTTTTTTTTTTTTTTTTTAAAGACAGTCTCGCTTTGTCGCCCAGGCTGGAGTGCAGTGGCGCAATCTCGGCTCACTGCAACCTCCACCTCCCGGGTTCAACTGATTCTCCCGCCTCAGCCTCCTGAGTAGCTGGTACTGCAGTTACTCACCACCATGCCTGGCTAATTTTTGTATTTTTAGTAGAGACGGGGTTTCATCCTGTTGGCCAGGCTGGTCTCAAACTCCTGACCTCAGTCGATCCGCCTGCCTTGGCCTCCCAAAGTGCTGGGATTACAGGCGTGAGCCACCACACCCGACAGCACATATTCTTTCAGGCACTCTTACAGTGTTTTAATTTTTTGAGACAGAGTCTCGCTCTGTCGCCCAGGCTGAAGTGCAATGGCACCATCTCAGATCACTGCAACCTCCGACTCCCGGGTTCTAGCAATTCTCCTCCCTCAGCCTCCCAAGTAGCTGGGACTGCAGGTGCCCACCACCGTGCCCCGCTAATTTTTTGTATTTTTAGTAGAGACGGGGTTTCACCGTGTTAACCAGGATGGTCTCAATCTCCTGACCTCGTGATCCGCCCGCCTCAGCCTCCCAAAGTGCTGGGATTACAGGCGTAAGCCACCGTGCCCGGCCTAGTCAGTGCTTTTTAAAAATAATTTCTCTTTTTGCTTCTTTAATTTCTTTAATTTTATTTTTTGTAGAGACAGGATCTTGCTTTCTTGCCCAGGCTGTTGTGAACTCCTGGCTTCAAGTGATCTGCTTCCTGCCTCGGCCTAGAGGCGTGCTGCAATTACTGGCATGAGCCACTGTGCCTAGCCCAATCAATGCTTTTTAAAAAGAAGTAAAATGCTTGAGCTTTGAGGCACTCATTCTTGCCAAAAGGCTGTTGTTACCAGAGCCTGGGCTCTGAGTATGCTTGAGGTACTAAAGGTAGTTCAAATTAGGGATCCATAACTAGCAGACACACAAGTTACATAGCTGGTCTTTGAAAAGAATGGAAGGAATAGAGAGGTTGGTTTTAAAATTTATGTTCAGTCCACTTTATGTGTTGTGTCTCAGGAAGCCAGATCAAGTCATTGCATGAGTGCATAAATTGTTTCAGATTGCTAATGCATCATCATGTTATGCAAACCTGGCATTTATGAATGATGGGTTTGTGTACACAATCCAAATGAGAATTTTTCCACTTTATTAGAGATAATATATTAAAAGCTAACGATTAGTTCACACTAATGCTTAATGCTAATTATGTTGCTTCAGTGCAGCTAGTAAGGGGATATAGTTAAGTTTTTTAATGTAGATTTTTTGACGGTCTTGAAGTATGATTTTCCACTTGTCTTCTTATTTTTGTTGTACTGAAAATAAGATGTGTTTCATAAGAGAAAATCTCTAATTTGTCCAAACCATGTATTTGAAGTTCAAAACATAATTTAACGTCACTTTTGTAGAGGATAGAGAGGATGAGGTGTTACCTTTCTATTTTGTCTTTGTAATTATGCAGTTTTCTCTTGAAAGTGAGGGTTTTGTTCTTTTACTTGATTTGATTTTGTAGGTTTACTGTCATTTATTCTCAATTCGGAAATTCAGTGTTAAAACTGAAAATCCCCTGGAAGTTTAAGTAAATTGATAGGGCAGCACAATAACCTCAATTGATGTGTGAGGGACTTTACATCTTTGTCCTGCTTAGTGTAACATTTTGCTGCAGAAATCATGTATGTTATTACATGGTACTTTTTTGGATCCCACTGTGTCTTGGAATATGTGGTATATGTATTATATTTACCTTGATAAAATTTGAGAACTCTTGAGTGGTGGCACACAGCTGGCTGCAGTGGTTTGCTTTAAATGAGCGCATTGTCTGTCATAAACTGCTGGATTCCCATTGTTGGAAGATTGTGAGGCATGAATTGGTAGTAGGAAGAATAAAGTTTTGCCAAAGAACCCATTGAACTATTATTATTATCATCATTACTATTTTTTAAATTTTTTTGAGACGGAGTCTTGCTTTGTCACCCAGGTTGGTCTTGAACTCTGGGGCTCACCCAGGTTGGTCTTGAACTCCTGGACTCAAGTGATCCTCCTTCCTCACTCTCCCAAAGTGCTGGGATTACAGGCATGAGCCATCATGCCCAGCCCATGTTGAGTTAAATGTGTTGATTACTTAGTAAGCCTAGCAAGAGGTTTACCTTTTTTTTTTTTTTTTGAGACGGAGTCTCACTCTGTCACCCAGGCTGGAGTGCAGTGGCACAGTCTTAGCTCACTGCAACCTCTGCCTCCGGATTCAGGTGATTCTCCTGCCTCAGCCTCCCAAATAGCTGGGATTACAGATGCCTGCCACCATGCCCAGCTAATTTTTTTTATTTTTAGTAGAGATGGGGTTTCACTATGTTGACCAGGCTCGTCTCAAACTCCTGACCTCAAGTGATCCACCCGCCTTGGCCTCCCAAAGTGCTGGGATTGCAGGTGTGAGCCACCATGTCTGGCCTAGGTTTACTTTCAAGTGCCATCTTTTCTTGGTTAGTCATAGTTGCACAGAGCACTAATTACTGATTTTGTGACCTAGTACTACAGTGATTATATTTGCCATAGACATGAGAATGGGAATTATGGTGGGACTGTTCCCAGATAGTATCCATCCTGCTGTTTCTAGGACATGTTTATGCATATAAATTATTCTTTATGATTTTTAGTTGAGAGTCTTTTATAAGGATGGAAGCAGTTGATCTTTCTCTCATTTCTCTAGTCACCCACAAAAGCTGTATATAATGCCAGACATTGGAATCATCCAGATTCAGAAGAACTGCCTGGGCCACCAGTAGTAAAACCTCAGAGTGTCACAGTAAGTGAACTGTACTTATTTATTTTGTGTTTTTTAATAAGCTATAAATTAAGCAGTTACTCTTTTAATTCATAATTTGTAAATCTTTGACTTTTCTATTTAACAGTTTATTTTGGCTTTCTTTACTGAAACTTATTAGTTTCAGTTTAATTCATTGGAAAACTGAGGATTGTCAGTAAGATAGCAGAAATTCTAGTGCTGCTAGGTTAAACAATGAAAGCCATAAAAAATAAGGCTCTTGTTACTCATGACCCACATTTCATGGAATTTATAGTATTTAGTGTTTAAGAGCAAGATTGTCCATATTTGATGTTTGTATAAGAGCTATGTTGTGTATTACATCCTATATATATTTCTAAGTGGCTTTCAGTGCTTAATTTGCTTTTCAGAGACAAATCTCTTCCTGTATTCTAGTAATACTTTTCAATCCAAAACATTAGGAAAAAGATTCTTAGCAACTTATTTTCTCCAGAATGACTGGTAATATCATACATGATTTCTAGGTTAACAGTAAAGCTTCAGTCATCTGGAGTTATCAAGTAACTTAGTTCTTTATAACAATAAGAAATTTGGGGATAGAAGTCTTTCTAAAGTATAATGTACAGTTCCCTGTCTTCTTAAACTGATTAGACTCCTTTTGATAGTATAAAGAAATCATTTTGTATATTAGTAGTAATATAGCATGCTCCTGTTATAGCTATTTATTTTTACCCTAAACTACTTCACACTCTTGTGCTACTAAAATTCTTTTGACTCTGTCTGGTTTTTCTGTCCTGTCCCTTTCTGCTTATGAAAGCTATTTTTGCATGCAGTTGTGGTTCTTTAGTCTTTCTAATGGTACTAGAGACAAACGACAAATTGTGTGAAATAAAAAGTTTAAAAAAGACCAGAAGAAATCCTTGAGTGGTTCTTCTGTGTGCAGATATACATATGTCTTACCTGTTAGTGCATGGAATTCAAAGTATTTCTAAAGACCTTTGAGAGGCCTCCCTGCTCCCTGCTTTTTAAAAAGCTTTATTTACTTTTTTTTGAAGCTGAATTTGCCAGATAGATGAGACGTTCCTATTTTTATATATTTATTTAGAACAACTAATTTAATACCTTTATTAATAGGTGAGGCTGTCTTCAAAGGAACCAAATCAAAAAGATGATGGAGTTTTTAAGGCTCCTGCACCACCATCCAAAGTGATAAAAACTGTGACAATACCTACTCAGCCCTACCAAGATATAGTTACTGCACTGAAATGCAGACGAGAAGACAAAGAAGTAAGCAGCCATATACAGTGTTTACTGCATGTTGATAGATTTTTGTATGTAACATTTAGCCATTTAATATCTTCAACAAATATCAGTATACTGATACTCAGTTTTGAACCACAAACTTCTTTTGTCCTACCATCATCCTTGTTCTAAAAATATTTTTGTTGCCATCTAATGAACTATTTTATGCACTTATGTAAAGTACAGTGAGCCCATAGATTTAAATATGCTAGTTCCTAGTTAAAAAGGGGTGAACTTTTTTTTTCTTGGCAGTTATATACTGTTGTTCAGCACGTGAAGCACTTCAACGATGTTGTAGAATTTGGTGAAAATCAAGAGTTCACTGATGACATTGAGTACTTGTTAAGTGGCTTAAAGAGCACTCAGCCTCTAAACACACGTTGCCTTAGGTAAGATCTTATTTTTATATTTTACAATTATGTGCATGCTGTATTAAATTTTTTCAACTAGGTGTTGTCCAAAAAGCCAAACATTTTTTATTTTGTTATGATGGGGTAGTATGTATAGCCAGTGATATGTTAAAATGCTATCCATTTCTTTATAAAGAATTTGATTCTGCATGATAAGAGGGAAAGCTGGGTGATGAGAGCCTTTTTAATATAGCATAGGCTTCAGTTTTCAAGAGCTTAAAAAAAAAAAAAAATTACGCTAAAGCATCTTTTTGCCTTGTGTGGTGGCTCATACCTATAATCCCAGCATTTTGGGAAGCCAAGTTGGGAGGATCATGTGTGTCCAAGAGTTCGAGACCACCTTGGGCAACATAGTGAGACCCCATGTCTACAAAAAATAAAAAATTAATGAGTCATGGTGGCATATGCCTGTAGTTCCAGCTACTTGGGAGGCTGAGGTGGCAGGATGGCTTGAGCCCGTGATCATGCTGCTGCACTCCAGCCTGGATGATAGAGTGAGGTGAGGCCCTGTCTCCAAAAACAAGAAAGAAAAAATTACCAGAAAGAAATAAAGTAAATAATTAAAAAAAAATCTTTTAAGTTCTTTTTACCTCTGATGTTCAAGTAATAAGTTAGATTTATTTAAGCATATTGTGATCTGGACGCTTACATTTGTACCCAAATGCTCAAAAAGATGATCTTTTGTATTTCCTAATGGATTGATTGAATACTATAATTTTGATTAAATTTTTCAGTCATTTGGAGTATATCCAATCAAATATAATTAATTAATTGTGATTTTTATCAGAAGTATTAATGAAAGGCAGCTCAGATTTTAAGCTTTTAATGGTGGTAGTAGTAACGTAAGGAATGCACTAAAGACAATTACGTTATTTTTTTAAAATACAGTGTACCTAATCATGCACTAGGCATCAGTATATTTTTAATAATGTGTTTTGCCTATGGTTTTTATATTGTGATCATGTATGGGCAATGCTTTGACCCTTTTACCCCCTTCCTATTTGCTGGTTTTGGTATTACACAAACTCAAAACTAATGTACTAGCTGTTTCCAGCCCCCCTAACCTGCTCTATTTTCTTGTAGTGTTATTAGCTTGGCTACTAAATGTGCCATGCCCAGTTTTCGAATGCACCTGAGAGCACATGGGATGGTAGCAATGGTCTTTAAAACCTTGGATGATTCCCAGCACCATCAGGTATTTTTTAAGTTTCTGAGATTGAGAAGCCTTATGTTGAAAACTACTAGTCTATTTGGCTATCAAAAATATCTTCACTGAATATTCTATAAATATATCCTAATTATAGATTGAGTTCATTTTATTTGCTAAATTTGTAGTGCTTATGGCCAGAAGCTTTTGCTTAATACTTATTTTATCATGAAAACGTGAAAACATTTTTTCTTAATGTGTCATTTTATACTTTTAAAATTGTATTTTGTTATCTTAGCTAATGTAGTATATTGATACAGAATTTTGTAAGCATAATTTTCTCTATAATCAGAAAGCACTGAGAAGAATCTTTTAATATTATTTGATACTAATGAATGGAAAAAAACTGGTTTGGAAATGCAGCCCTAATTTTTTAGAAACGTTTTTGTCCAGTGTTGAATCTGGAACATGGCCTCATTGTGATAAGGAATAATTTCTTCATTTTCCTTGCCTTTGATGCTTTTGCATAATGATAAACATAACAAAAGTTATTAGGTTTAACATTTTCCAAAATTAGAAGAAAGTAACCATCATTGCTAATTATTAGCATTAGTAGTATTTTGAGATGGCCTTACTATATTTTTGTTAAAGAAATTATGTTCTAAATACAGATTAGGTGATAATTAATTTAATACTGCATCTTCTGGGCTGGGCGCGGTGGCTCATGCCTGTAATCCCAGCACTTTGGGAGGCCAAAGTGGGCAGATCATCTCAGGTCAGGAGTTTGAGATCAGCCTGGCCAACATGGTAAAATCCTGACTCTACTAAAAATACAAAAAATTAGCTGGGTGTGGTGGCAGGCACCTGTAATCCCAGCTACTTGGGAGGCTGAGGCAGGAGAATTGCTTGAACCCGGGAGGTGGAGGTTGTAGTGATCTGAGGTTGTGCCACTGCACTCCAGCCTGGGAGACAGAGCGAGACTCTGTCTCAAAAAAAAAAAAAGAAGTTAGTTTGTTGCTGGGCAAGGTGGTGTGCATTCGTAAGTCCTAGCTACTCTGGAGACTAAGGGAGGATCTCTTGAGCTCAGGAGTTCAGATCCATTTTGGGAAACCTAGTGAGACCTCATCTCTTAAAAACAAACAAAAAAGAGAATTCGTTTGCTTTGTTATGCAGTTAACAGTGAACTTAGACATTACAGTGTGATTTTTAAGGGCAGTGGATCCCCCATGGCCTTTACAATGCATCCTAATTTCCAAAAATAATTTGCTGTATAAACATTTAATCAGACACCTGGTCTGATGCTTCTCTACTTCTGGGGGCTCAAAGTTTAAATCTTTAGATGGTTGTGTTTTCTGTATATTGAAATAGGTTTAAGTACAGAATATCTCAAGTGTTGGAATATCCCAAATGTAAGACCTTTTTTTATATTCACATTTATCTAAAATATTTCACCTTCAGTATTTAGATTGTGTAAGTAGAGTGTCCTGGCCAGGTGCGGTGGCTCATGCCTATAATCCTAGCACTTTGGGAGGCTGAGGTGGGCAGATTGCCTGAGTTTAGGAGTTCGAGACCAGCCTGGGCAACATGGTGAAACCCCATCTCTACTAAAAATGCAAAAAATTACTCGGGCGTGGTGGTGCTTGCCTGTAATCCCAGCCACTCAGGAGGCTGAGGCACAAGAATTGCTGGAACCTGGGAGGCGGAGGTTGCAGTGATCTGAGATGGTGCCATTGTACTCCAGCCTGGGCGACAGAGCGAGACTCCGTCTCAAAAAAAAAAAAAAAAAAAAAAAAAAATTATTTGGTTCAACCAGACTTGATTGTTTTATTTTATTAAGCGATCCTCACAACTCACCCTCCCAAGTAACTGGGACTACAGGCTCCTGCCACTACGCCAGGCTAATTTTTGTATTTTATTTTATTTTATTTTATTTATTTTGAGAGAGTCTTGCTCTGTCGCCCAGGCTGGAGTGCAGTGACACAATCTTGGCTCACTGCAGCCTCTGCCTCCCGGGTTCAAGCGATTGTCCTGCCTCAGCCTCCTGAGTAGCTGGGATTACAGAGGTGCGTCACCATGCCCAGCTAATTTTTTTTGTATTTTTAGTAGAGACAGGGTTTCATCATGTTGGCCAGGCTGGTCTCAAACTCCCGACCTTAGGTGATCCACCTGCCTCAGCCTCCCAAAGTGCTGGGATTACAGACGTGAGCCACTGCGCCCGGCCTAATTTTTTTGTATTTTTAATAGAGATGGGGTTTCACCATGTTGTCAGGTTGGTCTTGATCACCTTACCTCAGGTGATCTGCCCACCTTGGCCTCCCAAAGTGCTGGGATTACAGGTGTGAGCCACCACGCCTGGCGATTGGTTTATTTTAAAGAAATCCAAATATGTATATTTCAGCATCCTGGGTTTATATACAGATGTAAACACAGCTGTGTTTTCCAGGGGAAAAAATGTGTTAAGGGTATGATATAGATTTAAAATTATTATTTAAATTATTGATTTTAAACTGAAATATGACTATCTGCTGTATCATAAAGAATAGGCTGGGCGTGGTGGCTCACGCCTGTAATCTTAGCATTTTGAGAGGCCAAGGTGGGTGGATCATTTGGCCTCAGGTGTTCAGGACCAGCCTCGGCAACATGGTGAAACCCCATCCACAAAAAATACAAAAATATCAGCTGGGCATGGTGGCGCCTGCCGGTTGTCCCAGCTACTTGGGAGGCTGAGGTGGGGAGGATTGCTTGAGTCCAGACGGTCAAGGCTACAGTGAGCTGATATGTGCCACTGCAGTCCAGCCTGGATGACAAAGTGAAACCCTGTCTCAAAAGGAAAAAAAATGAGGTATATCATAATAAGGTTTTTATATATATATACTCACACACACATATCTGCAAAAATGTTTTATAAACTCTTAGCATAGTATAGCCTAAGAAATATGTAACTCAGCATATATTCTTAGAGCTATCAGGCATTCATATATGGAGGATCCATTGAAAGGTAAATTTTAAGCAACAGCATTTTATTTTTTTAAACATGTTTCTTCAGAATATTTTTAGAGAGGGGCCGGGCGTGGTGGCTCACACCTGTTATCCCAGCATTTTGGGAGGCCGAGGTGGGCGGATCACGAAGTCAGGAGATCGAGACCATCCTGGCTAACACCGTGAAACCCCGTCTCTACTAAAAAAATACAAAAAATAAGCTGGGCGTGGTGGCACACACCAGTAGTCCGAGCTACTCAGGAGGCTGAGGCAGGAGAATCGCTTGAACCTGGGAGGTGGAAGCTGCAGTGAGCCGAGATTGCGCCACTGCACTCCAGCCTGGGCGACAGAGTAAGACTCCATCTCAAAAAAAAAAAAAAAAAATTTTTTAGAGGGACCGCTGAATAAAACGTTTTTGAAGTTTCCAACATGGTTAGTAATATAAGTTTTAAGCATTAACTTGTAAACAAAAGTCATTAATAGTCTTATTTCCTGAGATGTCAGGAGTTGCTTACATGAAGTTTTTTTTCTTTTCTTTTTTTGGCCTGTTGAAGAATCTGTCCCTCTGTACAGCTGCCCTCATGTATATACTGAGTAGAGATCGTTTGAACATGGATCTTGATAGAGCTAGCTTAGATCTAATGATTCGACTTTTGGAACTGGAACAAGATGCTTCATCAGCCAAGCTACTGAATGAAAAAGACATGAACAAAATTAAAGAAAAAATCCGAAGGCTCTGTGAAACTGTACACAACAAGCATCTTGATCTAGAAAATATAACGGTGGGTTCCTTCTTCCTTCCTTCTAAGATGAGAATTACTTTCAGAAAGTCTTTGGTTAGTTGCAGTAGCTGTGTGACTGTGGGCAAATTATTTTAATTCTAACCTTGGTTTACAGTTTGGCAAATTTCTTATGTTTAGATCTGAGCATAATTTCATTCCTTGCCTGAACTTCCTAAACTAGTTTATCTGTATTTAGGCTTTTTGCCCAATAAATAGTTGCACATTTTCTGTTGCATTTTGTCTAATCCTTTTCTCTTTATTTTTTAAGAAAAAAAAGGGGCCGGGCACAGTGGTTCATGCCTATAATACCAGCATTTTGAGAGGCCAAGGCAGGTGGATTGCTTGAACCTGGGAGTTTGGGTCCGTCTTGGGTGACATGGTGAAACCCCAGCTCTGCAGAAAATACAAAAAAATCAGCCAGATATGGTGGTGTGCACCTGTAGTCCCAGCTAGTCAGGAGGCTTAGGTCAGAGAAATATCCTGAGCCCGGGGAGTTTGAGGGTACAGTGAGCCGAGGTCGTGCCCCTGCACTCCAGCCTGGGTGACAGAGTGAGATTGTCTCAAAAAAAAGGTAGAAACTACATGTATATTAGGAATTTTGAATTCTTATTCTCCATGGATTTCAGGGATAAACATTTCAGAGGATTTACATCCACCATTTTCTTTTTTAATTTTTATTTTATAATAATAGTAATAATTACTGTTTTTTGAGATAGCGTCTTGCTCTGTTGCCCAGGCTGGAATGCGGTGGTGCAGTCATAGCTCACTGCAGCCTCAAACCCCTGGGCTCAAGTGATCCTCCCACCTCAGCCCCCCAAGTAGCTGGAACTACAGGTGTATGCCACCATATCTGGCTAACTTTTGTATTTTTAGTAGAGATGGGGTTTTCGCCATGTTGCCCAGGCTGGTTTTGAACTCCTGGGCTCAAGCGATCTTCCTTCAGCCTCTCAAAGTGTTGGGATTACAGGCGTGAGCCACCACCCCCGCCATAACTGCCTTTTCAATGAGCAAGCATCTATTTATCCCAGAGTACCTCAGGGTGTCTAACTGCTTCATGGGACTTGAAGAACCCTGAAGACACCACAAGGAAGATTCCTAGGCACCTCACCTCCCCTGAGGTGGTGTTCCTTATAATACAGTCATGGCCAGTGGCTGCTCTTAATGCTCATCACAATGCCCCATGTGTGAGATGGCTATTCCATTTTTGCTTTAGTTCAGTTTTGCCTTCTTCTGGCTTTTTACTTGTAGAATCAATATGTTCCATTCACATATTGGTGATTCCATCCACTTCTAGGCCAGTAGAAGATAATTGGCCTGTGGTTTTGAAAAAAAAGAAAAAAAGAAAAAATAAGTGTTTATTGTATAATAACCTGGTTTTCAGACATTTCCAACATCAAAACTCTATAAACATTTATTATTGTCTACTGTTCACAATGGACAAGTCCATGCAAATGTACCTCCAGAGTCCAAGGAAGCTGAGAGGCCAAAGAGTCTGATAAATCCAGTTTTTTAGAAAGAAACATTTAATAGGGACTTAGGAACAAAAGCCGTATCTGTGTCTCGGGATCCCCATGCCATTACACCCCACATCCGGGATTTATATGCTATATGGAAAGCATAATTCAGAATGGATGTGTAGGGCTATTGCAGTGTACATCAAGGTTGTTTGACATAAGGGCAGGATATACAGTAAGTACCTGATTTTACACTAGGATCAATGGGTAAACTGGAAATTTTAGAGGCTTTCCCAGAACAGATGTTAATCAGAAGCCAGGCTGGGCGGTGTGGCTCACGCCCATAATCCCAGCACTTTGGGAATCCGAGGTGGGTGGATCACCTGAGACCAGGAGTTCGAGACCAGTCTGGCCAATATGGTGAAACCCCATCTCCACTAAAAATACAAAAATTAGCTGTGCGTGGTGGTGGGTGCCTGTATTCCCAGCTACTTGGGAGTCTGAGACATGAGAATCGCCTGAACCTGGAACCTAGGAGGCGAGGCGGAGGTTTCAGTGAGCCGAGATTGGCGCCACTGCACTCCATCCTGGGCAACAGAGCAAGACTACGTCTCCAAAAAAAACCAAACAAACAAAAGACAAAAAAACAAAAGCCAGTGTCTCCACATCTACTTAACTGAAGACTGCAGCATGTGCCACAAAAATTTATAGGATGCTTTGTGCTAGCCAGATGTGACTTAGGCTCTTGCTCTATTCTCTATTTTAATTAAGGTAGAGGTGGTAATAGATTCTGGTTATGGTGGAGGATGGGAGAGCAATTTAACTTTAAACAGCAAGATACAAAACTGACATGTATTCAGTACTTTTCACTTTATAAGATTGTGGAGAGAGGTGTTGTGCCCAGATGGCAAATCAATGATCCTCCATGTCATCACATCGTCTGTATGCTACATGTAAAACTTTTTTTTGTTTGTTTGTTTGTTTTTTTGAGACGAAGTCTTGCCCCTGTCACCCAGGCCGGAGTGCAGTGGTGTGATCTCGGCTCACTGCAGCCTCTACCTCCCAGGTTCAAATGATTCTCATGCATCAGCCTCTTGAATAGCTGGGATTACAGGCGTGTGCCATCACGCCCAGCTAATTTTCTTGTATTTTTAGTAGAGACAGAGTTTTGCTATGTTGGCTAAACTGGTCTCGAACTGAACTCAGGTGATCTGTCCTCCTCGGCCTTCCTGGGATTACAGACATGAGCCACTACGCCTGTCCAAAACATGTATAATTTTTATTTACTTCTGTATTTTTGCAGTGTCTACTGATTTTTTTCATGCTATAAAAGAATAAATTTGAGCCTATAGTTTTTATTTGCCTGCATAGTTGGATGAATATGACTTTATTTTTTTGTCTTCTATATTCAACATTTAGATTCATTTCAGGTATGCTGTTAAATAACATGATAAACTTGATAATTGAATTTGTCTTATGTTTTGTTGAATTTATTAGGATGATAAATACCAGAATAAAAACTTTCCTACACTCTATTAAATAGTTTACTCATATGATTAAGCCAGAGCACACTTGTCAATTTTAGGATTCCTCTTTTCCCCACTAATGTTAGCTGTCCTTGAATATTTTTGTTTTAAATTGTACAGTAGATTTACTGTGTTGTTTTGTACAATGAATATCCTTTACACGTTTTTGTTACTAGTTGCTTAATTTCTTGAATATATTGGTATGGCTGATGTGCCATGAAAAGATAATTTAAAATAGTAATATAGTCATGCTTTGCTTCATGACAGATATGCTCTAAAAATGCATCGTTAGGTGATTTTGTTGCTGTGTGAACATCAGAGTGTACTTACACAGACCTAGAAGTTATAACCTGCCACACATCTAGACTATGTGGTACAGCCTGTTGCTTTTAGGATGCAAACCTGTATAGCATGTTACTGTATTGAGCACTGAAGGCAGTTGGAACACAATGGTGGTAAAATTTGTGCATCTAAACATAAAAAAGGTACAGTAAAAATATGGTATAAAAGATTTAAAAAGATACACCCATATGGACACTTACCATGAGTAGAGCTTGCAGGACTGGAAGTTGCTCTGTGTAAGTCAGTGAGTGAGTGATGAGTGTATGTGAAGGCTTAGGACATGACGGCACACTACTGTAGACTTGATAAACACCATACACTGGCTCCCAAAGTTTAACTGTTGACTCTTTTTTAATAACACTTAGCTTAAAACACAAATTGTATAGCTCTACAAAAATATTCTGTGAGCTTTTTTCTGCTTTTAAAATTATTATTTTTTAACTTTTAAAACTTTTTCTGTTAAAAATGAAGGCGACACACACACGTTAACCAAGGTCCACACAGGGTCAAGATTATCAATATGACTGTCTTCCACCTCCACATCTTGTCCCATTGGAAGGTTTTAGGGGCAGTAAAACAGGCATGGAGGTGTCATCTCCCTTGATAACAATGTCTTGTCTTGGAATACCTCCTGAAGGACCTGCCTCGGGGGTCCCCCCCACTGCCTTGAAACTCTCTGGCTCTGTCAACCTGGCTGGAGTGCAGTAGCACGATCTCAGCTCACTGCAACCTCCACTTTCTGGGTTCAAGTGATCCTTGTCTCTCAGCCTCCCAAAGTGCTAGGATTACAGGTGTGAGCCATCTTGCGGCCTGTTCCTCTTATTTTCTGATTAGTGATTTGGCTGTGCTTTAATTCTGAGTACTATTCCAGTTTTCAAATAAAATGCTTGATTAGTAGGCTGTTTTTAAATGCTAGCTTATAGTATACTGACTATAGCCTAAAATATCAAAGAATCCTTTTTATGCCAATAGAAACAAAAACAAAACTTCCTAAAAAGGCTCGAGTTTTAATTATTAATATCAAATTACCATCACCTTTCTTCTAAACAAAGAATGCCTCATTAGGCTTCAGCTTTGCCTGTATGACTCATGAATTAACACACACGAACCAGTCTAAATTACTCTTTGAGGGACAGAATGAAAAATGGGCACAATTGTATCTGTTTTTGTGGTATTGGATTCTAGTTCTATATTTGTCACCTTGGAGAACAACTCTTTTTTTTTTTTTTTTTTTTGAGACGGGATCTCACTCTGTCGCCCAGGTTGGAGTGCAGTGGCACAAATCTTGGCTCACTGCAACCTCCACCTCCCGGGTTCAAGCAATTCCTCCTGCCTCAGCCTCCCGAGTAGCTGGAATTACAGGCACCCACCACCACGCCCAGCTAATTTGTGTATTTTTAGTAGAGATGGGGTTTTACCATGTTGGCCAGACTGGTCTTAATCTCCTGACCTGAGGTGATCAGCCCGCCTCGGCCTCCCAAAGTGCTGGGATTACATACAGGTGTGAGCCACCGCACCTGGCCGAGAACAACTTTTTTAAAAGAAGTAGATTAAAATCTTCTAGATCTTTTCTAAATGTGCAGTCTTAAGGTTTTCACTGGTAATATCTGTTATTTGTATTTCTAAATATCTAATTTATGTGCATTTTTCAAATAGACCTGAAGGACTTAATGTAAACTCTCATCTTTTGAAGGGGAGAAACTTAGGGAGAAAAACCAGATCTTGTCAGTCTTTGCTAGTTAAAGCATTTCTTTTGTTATGCTGAAGTTCTTTATTGCAGCAGGAACCAAATTGCTCTTTGTTGGGAAGTGGCTGTCTGCTTTAAAAAGAAAAACAACAGCCAAAGTGAAATAAAGGGCAATAAAAACTTTACTCAGGTTGTGAGTGTGGCTCTTAGCTTTTGTACTCTTCTGGTGGTGGTCCTAAAGCATTATTTGTATACAGTTTTGTCATCATGGCCACATGATGAATATCTGAGCTGCTAAGCCCGCAGTATGCCCTTTAAAAACTAGTCAGTCTGCAACACTAAAGTGAACAAAGGATTTGTATGCAGAATAGACAAAATACACCAAATAATAAGAAAAGACAATCAGTCTTGCAGGAAAATATGGAAAGAATAATGAACAGGAGTCTCATAGTAGAAACATAGTTAATATGTGAAAAACTGTTCAAGGTTACTGTCGTTGTAAAAATACAAACAAAAGCAGTATGTTACCATTTTGTACCCTCAGACAAAAATGTTAAGTGATAACTTGTACTTTTGAAGATTCAGGGCAACTGGCACTCCCACACTTTGCTCCTGAGAGTGTTACTTGTTAAATCCATTGTGGTAAATTAATCCAATATTGATTTACAGTTAAAAAATACATGTACCCTTTGACTTAGCAGTTCCACACTTGACCTGTATACTGTAGAAATAAGAGTACCTATATATATGTATAATATTAAACTGACAAATGATAGACTAATAGCACATTTTCTCTATGAAAAGCTGGTTAAAAAACTTTGTTCAATGTGGACTATTCTGATAAAATTGAAAATTAGTTCAATTTTATGTATAAAAGTGGTGTTAAACTACATGTAGCATGCAGTAAATTTTTGTAAAGAGAAACAATTTCTAGAGTTATTGCTAAAAGTTGATATTCATTAATGATGCTTCTGGTTTTTAGACTGGGCATTTAGCTATGGAGACATTATTATCCCTTACTTCTAAACGAGCAGGAGACTGGTTTAAAGAAGAACTCCGGCTTTTGGGTGGTCTGGATCATATTGTAGATAAAGGTATGATATTTACATTTAGAATGTTTTTATATATTATTTAAAGCCTGAAGAAAATACTCCATTGACGTACTTCAAAAAATAATTGTATCAGTTTGGAAATGTCTATTATCATTATTATTTTTTAGTTGCATCCTGCAAATTTCTAACATTTAAAGAAGAGGCCGGCCGGGCACGGTGGCTCATGCCTGTAATCCCAGCACTTTGGGAGGCCAAGGCGGGCGGATCACCTGAGGTCGGGAGTTTGAGACCAGCCTGACCAACATGGAGAAACCCCGTCTCTACTAAAAATACAAAACTAGCCAGGCGTGGTGGTGCATGCTTGTAATCCCAGCTACTTGGGAGGCTGAGGCAGGAGAATTGCTTGAATGTGGGAGGTGGAGGTTGCAGTGAGCCGAGATTGTGCCATTGCACTCCAGCCTGGGCAACAAGAGCGAAACTCCATCTCAAAAAAAAAAAGAAGAGGCCATTAACATTTTGATATTGGGGGATTATGGAAACAAAATAATTACAGAGTATGCATTTCAAAATCTCACAGTATGAAACCTAGAATAAAAAATGTTCAGAGAGGTTCCAGCATGTTCATAGCGTGTGTACAGATGGCTTCTAATGTTAGCTAAAAGTATTCTATTGGTAAGTATCGATGATAAATACTAACTTACGTTTGTTTCTTTTCACCTAGTAAAAGAATGTGTGGATCATTTAAGTAGAGATGAGGATGAAGAGAAACTGGTAGCCTCACTATGGGGAGCAGAGAGATGTTTACGAGTTTTAGAAAGTGTAAGTATGGATGACTATTTGGCAAAAATTATTCAGTCTTAATTGTGATTGTGTGTGTAAGAGAGAGACTGCCAAATATTTTATATACCCCTGGAGGTTCACTTCTGTTAATCCAGATAGAAATAGCAGTACATTTTTTGAGCAACCAGTTGTTAATAAACAAGCTAAATGAGTAGTTTTATATTTTAAGAGTACATGTATTATTGCTGCAAATGAAATGTTAGGCTTGTTTGTTTACATATGCCAATCTTTTTTAAAGATTTTATTATTTTTATTATTATTTTTTGAGCCAGAGTCTCACTCTGTCACCCAGGCTACAGTGCAGTGACATGATCTTAGCTCACTGCAACCTCTGCTTCCCGGGTTCAAGCAATTTCATGCCTCAGCCTCTTGAGTAGCTGGGATTATAGGCATGTGCCATCATGCCCTTCTGATTTTTGTATTTTTAGTAGAGTCGGGGTTTTGCCATGTTGGCCAGGCTGGTCTCAAACTCCTAGTTTCAAGTGGCCTGCCGGCTTCAGCCTCCCAAAGTATTGGGATTACAGGCGTTACACTTTGCTGGGCCCCTCCAATCTTTATTGTTTTTTCCTTAATGTGAATTTCTACTTGACTACATTGTTTGTAGATAACAATAGTGAAATGCAATCAGGTTTTATTTTTAAATTGTTATTAGCATTTTGTTTATTTGACTTTTATTTGAGTCAGATTGTTTATAGGCATGGCCTGTCATAATATTTGGCTTTGGAGAATGATACTGTTGAACTGCAGCGAGTATATTTTGTTCTTTGACTCTTACGAAAGACTTAACCCAGTTCCGTATAGATTAGAATTTATACTGCCAGCTAATTTCAGGATGCATAGGTTTGTTCACCAGGTTATTTTAAAAGTAGTATAGTATAAATTAAAAGCTCCTGGCATAGATTAAATTGTAGCGTTCCATGTGTCTTCTAGAGTGCTTTGGGCACAGTAGATAACAGATACTTCTTTGTAAAAATGTGTTCTAAATGAATCTACTTATGAACTTTACGTTATTTGTAAGTTGAGGACTGCTCTATTCTGACATTCAGTGTGTTTGGCAATTCGTTACAGTGAATATGTAGTGTAGAATATGTTAATTATGAATGAATATAACAGTGATGTCTTAATTTTTTCATAAAGCATTAGCTTTCTTATTTTACACCTGGAACCTGTAGGTTGTGAAATTATTCCCTTTGGTAACAAGGGCTGTTTCTTCCTCATCTTTGTATCTTTTACGCACCAGGCAGAATGTGGTGTTACATGAATGAATGAAAGTTTTGGATTGCCACAATTATTTCATATTCTTCCTTTTTAGGTAACTGTGCATAATCCCGAAAATCAAAGCTACTTGATAGCATATAAAGATTCCCAACTTATTGTTTCATCAGCTAAGTAAGTTTTTTGTTTATTAGTTAACAACTAACATTGTTACTTATTTTAAACATTTGGATTGACCATAAATGAAAGAAATTTGGATTAGCTTCCTCCATGAAATGCTCTGTTGAGTTCTGTGAATTGGTTCACATTGTGTAACAAAAGTTTTAAGAGTACAGATTTTGGACACAAAATGACAGTGTGGATTCCAGCTTGATAATTTCAGCTGTATAACTTTTGTAATGTACAAATCAAGCTCTTTACAAGGGGGATAATAATAGTGGCTAACCCACCTAGGATTTTTATTACAGTAAAATGAGTTAATTTGTATGTTTGTAAGAAATATATACATAGTAGATATTTAAAAATATGTGTATATTAAAAATACATATAAAAAATTTAAATTTAAATGATTTTTAAAGTATCTTTTGTATCATTTGTGATACATATTAATGAGTTAAATTAGTTAATGTGCAAAGCCTAGAACAGTACTTGGCGTATAGTAAATACTAAGCATTTTTCCTCATTCTTGTTTTAAATGGACTTTTCTCTGTTCTTCTGCACTTTATTTAGACCTGTTTTTCTATATCTGTATGTAGCTTCTTCCATTCCACATTTATTTCTTCCCACATTTCATCACAATTAGGCTAATGCTGTCACCTCCTTGCAGGTAAAATTCCCAAGTATGTCTCCAGTCCTGGTTCTGTCTTATTACAGCAACCTCTTCCTGATATCTCTGTCCTAGTTCTTGATATCTGCCCTAGTTCTCTGGCCTTTAGCCTATCCAGAACAATACCACATGGAGTTAACTTTCTCCAAATCGCTGCTTTGAAAAAATAATTTTAATTTCTCAAATCTCTGATTCCTTATTGTCTTTGGATATATGTACAACTTTCTTATTGAAGTCAGCCTTATCAAAGGCCCATTGCAGTCTTACTCTAGTTTATCTGTTTTTTAACCTCTTATTTTGGAGGAATTCAAATATAAATAGTGTAATAAACTGTAATGTACACATTATCAATCATGGCCAGTCTGGTTTCCATCTGTAACCTCATCCATTCCCTCTCCTGTATTATTTGAAACAGATCCAGATATTATTTCGTCCATAAATACTTAAGTACATAATGCCTAGAAGAAAAGGACTCTTTTAAAAAATATAACCCCAGTGCCATTTTCATGCCACACATTATTAGTTGCTTAATATTTTATGTTTAGTCAATATTCTAATTTTCAGTAGTCTCAAATTTCTAGTCTCAGTAGATTTTCTTAATCTGTAGGTTTTTAAAATCTCCTTTTTTTGTCTTGGATTTGTACGTTTTGTATCTTGCATTTGTATATTTTATTTTTCTTTATTTTATTTTATTTTTTTTTCTGAGCCCAGGCTGGAGTACAGTGGCATGATCTCGGCTCACTGCAACCTCTGCCTTCTGGATTCACATGATTCTCCTGCCTCAGCCTTCCGAATAGCTGGGACAACAGGTGTGCGCCACCACACTTGGCTAATTTTTGTATTTTTAGCAGAGACGGGGTTTCACCATGTTGACCAGGCTGGTCTCGAACTCCTGACCTCAGGTGATCCACCCGCCTTGGCCTCCCAAAGTGTTGGGATTACAGATGTGAGCCACCGTGCCTGGCCTATTTTATATATATTTAGCACTCTCTTTTTTTTTTTTTTTTTTAATAGATACAGGGTCTTGCTATGTTGTCCCAGCTGGTCTCAAACTCGTGGGCTTAAGTGATTCTCCTGCCTTGACCTCCCAAAATGTTGGGATTACAGGCATTAGCCACTGTGCATTGCCTGTATTTAGTGCTCTTACCGCATGCATTCTGGTTGTTTGCTACCATGTTTTTACCCTTCCTTACCAAAGATTATTGAAGTTAAATGTTTCTGATTTCATTTTCTTTTTTAAATTAAGAAAAATTGTGTATGTTGTTTCTGATTTAAAAATATCTCTTTTGTATACTTCATAACCTCTGACAACTACCTTGTAAGAGGAAGTATTTGATATGACAGGTGCTCTTTTGTTGTGATTAGGAAATTCAGGCCAAATGTCTTGGAAGTGGCAGTAGAGGTCAGAATTGAGTGTTTGTAAAAGAGCACTTATCTCTAGGTTTTTAAGCTTTTCAGCAGAAACCATGATCAATTCGGAGATAGCATACAGAAAGATTAAATAACATATGCTGAACCTCCTTTTGTCTTCAAAGCCCCAGTTTAGCCCAGCCTGAAAACAGTTGAGTTACCAGTGACAGTATGGTAATCCTGACCAGCATTCAATACCAGAAGAACAAATTATTTTAGGTTAGACATGAGGAACACCTTCCTGACCAAAGGGTTGTAAAATATTAAGAACTTTTACAGAACTTCCTCAGTATGTTTTAAAGGGCAACTAGGCGTAGATTAGATACGGTTTCTTTAAGAATTTTGTGTGATATATAATGCATGAAGAATCAACTGACAGAGTGAGCTTACTTGATTTGTATTAAACTTAAAAATCGTGGACTTGGTGATTTAAATAGTGTCTTTAGAAATACTAGACCCATTAGGGATTATATTTCCTTGTTATTTTGGGTAGTATCTTGAGAATCCTTTTTTTTTTTTTTTGGTATCATAAAGTTTTTAATGACACACACATTTTGTCCTTTACCTTACAAATATTTCTTTGGGTTTTATTCTGATCATCATGCAATATACAGAATAGTTTCTTGCCATTACCTTATTAGGGTAGAACCACCTTTGCAACTTTGGACACCATTTAGTAGACGTGAAATGGAATATAGAAAGATAGAATGCTTGAACAAAACCTCTCAGTGCTAGCTGCCTTAACTAAGGTCCTTCTCTCAGCTTAGTACCCCTGTGACAGCTTGCAAGACACTCTGACTTTGTTTTATTGTGCTTATGTAGTCAGATTATGAGGCTGATCATTGAGTGTCCATCAGACTCTACATTATTGATTCCTCTCTCAAGTTGCCCCAATATCCTTTGTGGCCAGAGGAAGAGAAAAACATTCAACTAGTAAATCCAATTTCTCTTGCGAAAAAGACTCATAGTTCTGATAAAGAGTCATTTCAATACCTGTTTCACCATTTAGAAAACATGTTTCTGTTTGTATAGCACCTCTGGGAACCTAATGCAGTAATATCGCCTTCTTTTCCATTTGTCCCTGATCTAGATGCTATATTTTTTATGCAACCCACCTGCTGTTAAGTATTTTACAATTATAGATTTACGCTCTATCTTTTATTCTGTCCCATCTCACCCTGCTAGCAAATTTTTATTTGTTTTCTTTTTTTCTTTTTTTTTCTTTCTTTCTTTTTTTTTTTTTAGTATTTATTGATCATTCTTGGGTGTTTCTCGGAGAGGGGGATTTGGCAGGGTCATAGGACGATAGTGGAGGGAAGGTCAGCAGATAAACATGTGAACAAGGGTCTCTGGTTTTCCTAGGCAGAGGACCCTGCGGCCTTCCTTGTGTTTGTGTCCCTGGGTACTTGAGATTAAGGAGTGGTGATGACTCTTAACGAGCATGCTGCCTTCAAGCATCTGTTTAACAAAGCACATCTTGCACTGCCCTTAATCCATTTAACCCTGAGTGGACACAGCACATGTTTCAGAGAGCACGGGGTTGGGGGTAAGTTTGCAGATTAACAGCATCCCAAGGCAGAAGAATTTTTCTTAGTACAGAACAAAATGGAGTCTCCTATGTCTACTTCTTTCTACACAGACACAATAACAATCTGATTTTCTTTTCCCCACATTTCCCCCTTTTCTGTTCGACAAAACTGCCATCGTCATCATGGCCCGTTCTCAGTGAGCTGTTGGGTACACCTCCCAGACGGGGTGGCGGCCGGGCAGAGGGGCTCCTCACTTCCCAGACGGGGTGGCCGGGCAGAGGCACCCCCCCACCTCCTGGACGGGGCGGCTGCCGGGCGGGGGCTGCCCCCCACCTCCCTCCCGGACGGGGCGGCTGGCCGGGCGGGGGCTGCCCCCCACCTCCCGGACGGGGTGGCTGCCGGGCGGAGACGCTCCTCACTTCCCAGACCGGGCGGCTGCCGGGCGGAGGGGCTCCTCACTTCTCAGACGGGGTGGCCGGGCAGAGACGCTCCTCACCTCCCAGACGGGGTGGCGGTCGGGCAGAGACACTCCTCAGTTCCCAGACGGGGTCGCGGCCGGGCAGAGGTGCTCCCCACATCTCAGACGATGGGCGGCCGGGCAGAGACGCTCGTCACTTCCCAGACGGGATGGCGGCTGGGAAGAGGCACTCCTCACTTCCCAGGCTGGGCGGCCGGGCAGAGGGCCTCCTCACATCCCAGACGATGGGCGGCCAGGCAGAGACGCTCCTCACTTCCCAGACAGGGTGGCGGCTGGGCAGAGGCTGCAGTCTCCGCACTTTGGGAGGCCAAGGCAGGCGGCTGGGAGGTGGAGGTTGTAGCGAGCCAAGATCACGCCACTGCACTCCAGCAAAAACCAGTCAGGTGTGGCGGCGCCCGCCTGCAGTCCCAGGCACTAGGCAGGCTGAGGCAGGAGAATCAGGCAGGGAGGTTGCAGTGAGCCGAGATGGCGGCAGTACAGTCCAGCCTCGGCTTGGCATCAGAGGGAGACCGTGGAGAGAGAGGGAGAGGGAGATTGTGGAGGGAGAGGGAGAGGGAGAGCGAGAATCCTTAGATGTAGCTCATCCCCTTGGAAAATTGTCGAGGAGACATGTCAATTTGAATGAACTTAAATTAAAAAATAATGATTTATACTGTCAACGTTGGTAGTGAAGGTAATAAAAATAATGATTTGCTCTAATGCGTATGAAATATTTAATACTTGTCTTTACATTAACATTTGTTATGTAGTAATAACATTTACTACCTCAGAAGTGTCCAACATTAGCTGTTAACCATTTGCCCTGTTTGAGAAAGGGTTGTGGTCTGTCTCTTATATTGGAGAGATCAATAACATGCGAGACAATTTGGAAATAAAGAGATTACTAGTGGTAAATGTAGATAGTACAGATATAAACTTCTGCCATAAGTTTTTAATTTTAACATTCCTTGAATAAGTTTTTTAAGGTATCAGATTTTTCCAAAATAAAGTGAAATTTCATCCGATAGCCTTTAGGTTCAAGTAAATAGAAATTTGCTGTGTACCTATTATTATTTACTATAATAGTCTATATTTTATTTCCTTTTAAGAGCATTACAGCATTGTGAAGAACTGATTCAGCAGTACAACCGTGCTGAGGACAGCATATGCTTAGCTGACAGTAAGCCTCTGCCTCACCAGAATGTAACTAACCATGTAGGCAAAGCAGTGGAGGACTGCATGAGGGCCATCATCGGGGTGTTGCTTAATTTAACTAATGATAATGGTAAGATTTTTTTCCATTTTTTTCTCATTGAAAGATGTATATTGCATGTGAAAACAAGTTATTTTTGTTTCTCCTTTTCCTGGGGTAGTGATTTTTTTATTTGTCATAATGTACTTGACTTACTCATGTGTAGGTTTAAATTGCTTTTAAGAGTTGATATTTTTAGAAGCCTAGTAGCTTGACCCAGAAGTATCAATAGTATGTTTCAATAGAGGAATGACTATACAATTCTAAGTTAATATCCATGTTAATAAATCTCCATTATTAGTGTTCTAAGGAAGAATCAGTAACCATTTTCCTGTATCCATTTCTTATTTCAGAGTGGGGCAGCACCAAAACAGGAGAGCAGGACGGTCTCATAGGCACAGCGCTGAACTGTGTGCTTCAGGTTCCAAAGTACCTACCTCAGGAGCAGAGATTTGATATTCGAGTGCTGGTAAGTTGAAATGACTTTTTCAGAAATGAGTATCATATCTAATAAGGTGTGCAAAATGTTAACCTTAGTTTGGGTTTAAGAACCAACCCTTTAATATATTGTGGGTTTTTTTTCATGAATTTCCTTATGAACTTACTGTGTGTGTTTCTTTTTTTTTTTTTTTTTTTTTTTTTTTTTTTTTTTTTTTTTTTTTTTTTTTTTTGGGAGATGGAGTCTACAGTGGCAACATCTTGGCTCACTGCAACCTCCGCCTCCCTGGTTCAAGCAGTTCTCCTGCCTCAGCCTTCCAGGTGCTGGGACTGTAGGCATGTGCCACCACGCCTGGCTAATTTTTGTATTTTTAGTAGAGACGGGGTTTTGCCATGTTGCCAAGGCTGGTTTCAAACTCCTGGCCTCAAGTGAT
Source organism: Homo sapiens (assembly GCF_000001405.40). Lineage (NCBI taxonomy): Eukaryota > Metazoa > Chordata > Mammalia > Primates > Hominidae > Homo > Homo sapiens. Next base: position 86,452,816 of record NC_000010.11, on the reverse strand, counting down.
CTGCCCGCCTCAGCCTCCCAAAGTGGTGGGATTACAGGTATGAGCTATTGCGTCTGGCTGAACGTACTTCTTATTGTGCAAAAGAAAGCCATGAAAAGACCCTATGTAAAAATAAAAAGTACGAAAGCTAAAATTGGCAATTAAAAATAAAAGGAATGATTCTTTGGGAAAATCGGTGGTTTTTTTGTTTTGTTTTTTTTGTTCTTTTTTTGTTTGTTTTTGAGATGGAGTCTCACTCACTCTCTTGCCCAGGCTGGAGTGCAGTGGCACAGTCTCGGCTCACTGCAACCTCCATCTCCTGGGTTCAAGCTATTCTCCTGCCTCAGCCTCCCAATTAGGTGGGATTACAGGCATCTGACAACACACCTGGCTTATTTTTGTATTTTTAGTAGAGATGGGGTTTCCCCATGTTTGTCAGGTTGGTCTCGAGCTCCTGGCCTCAAGTGATCCACCTACCTTGGCCTCCCAAAGTGCTGGGATTACAGGCATGAGCGCTGTGCCTGGCCTTTTTTCTTTTTTTTTTTTCTTTTTTTCTTTTTGGCCTTTCATACTGGTTTTTAGCCATTTTGTAGGTGGTAGAACACTGATATTCAGCTTTTTAGTTGCCATTAAAAATTGTGTATATTGTGTTCATTTGTTTTAAGTACTCATCTCTGATAATATGTGTCTTTTAAACTTTTTGAAGGGCTTAGGTCTGCTGATAAATCTAGTGGAGTATAGTGCTCGGAATCGGCACTGTCTTGTCAACATGGAAACATCGTGCTCTTTTGATTCTTCCATCTGTAGTGGAGAAGGGGATGATAGTTTAAGGATAGGTGGACAAGTTCATGCTGTCCAGGCTTTAGTGCAGGTAAGCAACCACTTTAAAAACAAACTCATAACTGCAGTTTGTTGGATTTGTCCAATTTCTTTTATCATTTGCACCTTTTACCTCCTTTTCTTGCCCATCCACTGCTGGCCCTCTCTGCCCCTCCCCCGGCCTTTTTAGTTAGAACTCCTGAAGCATGTCTCTGCTGGGGTAGAAAGGGACTGTTTTACACCTGACCAATTTTTAAATATTCACAGCGTCTAGGGTGAAAGCTTATTTTAAACCAGAATTTGTAACCAATTAAAAATGTGGTATAGGCTGGGCGCAGTGACTCACGCCTATAATCCCAGCACTTTGGGAGGCTGAGGCAAGTGGATCACTTGAGGTCAGGAGTTCAAGACCAGCCTGACCAATATGGTGAAACCTCATCTCTACTAAAAATACAAAAGTTAGCCAGGCATGGTGGCATGCACCTGTAATCCCAGCTACTCAGGAGGCTGAGAGGCAGGAGAATCACTTGAACTGAGGAGGTGGAAGTTGCGGTGAGCCGAAGTGGCATGTCACTGCACTCCAGCCTGGACAACAGAGCAAGACTCTGTCTCCAAAAAAAAAAAAAGGTGGTATAATTTCTCTGTAGATCAGTAAGAGGTACACTGCTTAGAATGCATTCTTACTTTATTTTGCTGATTTTTTTTCGACTGTTATAATCACTCCTTAAGCATTGTTACCAAAAAGCAGAGACAAAGGCACATTTGTTCTATTAATGAAATTGGGTGCAGTGGCTTACGCCTGTAATCCCAGCACTTTGGGAGACTGAGGTGGGGAGGATCACTTGAGTCCAGGAGTTCAAGACCAGCCTGGGCAACATAGTGAGCTCCCATCTCTATTAAAAAAAAAAAAAAGTCAAGAATCCAGGCCCATCACATCCACTTCGTGTCCTCTAGTATTTATTTACTCGTCTGATCTGTGTCCAGAACTTTGACCTTATGGACCACAGAAAACTGGAAGTCCTTTGTCACCTGTTCCCTTACCCAGTCTGGAAAGTGGCAAAGTAGCCGAGCATGGGAAATTGTGAATGAGAGTGTTTCTTTGAGCCATTTAAAGTCATTTTTTATTATCCTCTTTTGTTCTCTATTATGTGTGATTGAATGTTGACTATAGATAAGAGGTAGTTAATCCCTAGGCTTTTCTTCTTAGACTCAGAATACTCCGTTTTGACTAGCCTTGAAGTTTTAGTTTATTTAAAATACAAAATTAAATGTGAAACTAGTGATAGATTATCATTACTTATCAGTAACAGTAATAGTAAATGGTAGTAGTAATTTACTATCAATAGTTGATAATAGACTGCTTTTAGTCTCCAGATACCATTTAGAGATTTCATTTAATGCAAAAAACATTTGAAAATGTTTGGCACCTACCGCTTTGATCCCATTGACAACATTTATTTTTCTGCTAAATGAAGCATTTCTTGGCCGGGCAAGGTAGCTCACACCTATAATCCCAGCACTTTGGGAGGCCAAGGTGGGTGGATTGTTTGAGCTCAGGAGTTTGAGACCAGCATGGGCAACATAGTGAGATCCTGTCTGTACAAAAAATAAAACAGTTGGTTGAGTGTGGTGGTGCATGCTCATAGTACCAGCTGCTCGGGACGCTGAAGTGAGAGGATTGCTTGCACCCAGGAGTTTGAAGTTGTCGTGAGCCGTGATTACAGTACTGTGCTCCAGCCTGGGCAACAGAGTGAGACCCTGTCTCAAAAACGTTTAAAAAAAGTATTCTTTTTTTCTGTTCAGTAGACTTGTTTTTAAACTTTTTATTTCAAAATAGTTATAGACTCACAGGAAGTTACAAAAATAGTACAAAGAATCCCTCCCATTTACCCTTTACCTAACTTCCTCAAATGGTGACATCTTATATAACTGTAGTACTATAGCAAAACCAAGAAATTGACATTAGTACATTACTGTTAACTGCACTTTAGACCTTATTCAGTTTCACCATTTTCATCTGCATTCATTTATGTTTGTGTGTAACATATGTACCTCTGTTCAGTTTTATTACGTGTATAGATTCATGTACTCACCACTACATTGAGATATAGAACCGTCACCATAAAAGAATTCCCTTTTGCTGCTCACTGTACAGCCTACCTGCCCTCCCTGTCTCCTAGCTACCACCAACGTGTTTTCTATCTTTTTCCATCTCTTGTTTTATTTTTTTCTATCATTCTAGTCTCTTTCTTTTAAAAATTGACTTTTCTTCAAATGGAACCTAGAAATGAATAAAAACTTACCGTCAGTCGCCTCAGGAGCTGTGTTTGAAGGCACAGATGATAGATCTGCATTATCCACATAATAGGGGTTCATTTGCAGAAGCCATCCCCACACCCTCAGAGATCCCTGTTTGTGAGTTGTTTCAGGGATAGTCTCAAATTTTCCTACTGTGTCTAATTGACCTGGGAATATCACTTCCAGTATTCCTCTTTTGCACTTAGTGTTATAGAAGCCTCTTGTCCTTCAGGGTATCATCCTATATCTTCTCTGTCTTTCTTTTATCTGCTATGGTTTATGGTTTGTCATTTTTAAATCAGTTTAAAGTTTTTGTTTTTCAATTGTAATACCTTTTGGGTGATGGGTTCTGTTACTCATTTTAGAAAATTGTGCTGCCTTGTACTCACATCAGTTACCTTAAAGTGTCAAGAAATGGCTCTTAATTCTGTTATTCAAAGATAGAGTGGAAAAATCCATGTTCAGATTTATATCGTTTATGCTACTGATAACGTTGGCCTGAATCCAGTAATTTTCAAATTACGTATCTTTTCGATAATGTTGTATAAATGGAATCTTACAGGTAGTTCTGATTACTGACATGAACTTTCCTCTTTCTAGCTGTTCTTTTCTTACCTATTTATGGATCTGTTTATTTTTTAAAAACCAAACATAATTCACATACGTAGTGGGGGAAAAAAAGTCAGATCCAGAAAGGTTTAAACTCCACAGATCTATTTCCTAAAACGTTACCATTTGTAATAGTTTTGTGTTTGTCCTGAGAAATTAGTGTTTATGCATATATCAAAATAAATGTGCAGGCCAGACATGGTGGCTCATGCCTGTAATCTGTAATCCCAGCACTTGGGGAGGCTGAGGCAGGCAGATTGCTTGAGCCCAGGAGTTTGAGCCTGGCCTGGGCAACATGGCAAAATTATGTTTCTACTAAAAATTAAAAAATTAGCCAGGTGTGGTGGCATGTGCCTGTAGTCCCAGCTATTTGGGAGGCTGAGGTGGGAGAATCACATGAGCCCAGGAAGTTGAGGCTGCAGTGAGCCATGATCCTGCCACTGCACTCCAGCCTGGGCAATGGGAATAAGACCCTGTCCGAAAAGTAAATAAAAAAATGTGCAATGTGTTTTATATAAATGGACTCTTACTGTACATAGTATTTAGTCTATACCCACTCTTTGCTTAATGTGTCTTCCTGAGCTCTTCATGTCAACACGTAGGTTCATCACATTCTTTGTAATGACTGCAAACTAGTAGCTTTTTGATTTATACATACATACATACAGGGTCTCACTCTTTTACCCAGGCTGAAGTACAGTGGTCCAGTCACAGCTCACTACAGCCTTTACCTCCCAGGCTCAGGTGATCCTTTCACCTCAGCCTCCCAAGTAGGTGGAACTACAGGCACATGCCACCACGTTTGGCTAAGTTTCGTATTTGTAGAGCTGAGGTCTCAAACTCTTGCACTCAAGTGATCCTCCTGCTTTGTCTCCTGAAGTGCTAGGATCACAGGCATGAGCCACCATGCCCTGCCTTAGTACTTTATTTAACCAAACCTCTACTGATACACTTTTTGATGGTTTTCTGTTTTTTTAAGTTTTATTTTGTTACAAAAATTACAGAAATAAATACCATAGCATCTAAATCTTAGGCCATACTTTTCTTTTTTTTAAATTTTTTTGGAGACAGAGTCTTGCTCTGTCGTCCAGGCTGGAGTGCAGCGGCACCATCTCAGCTTACTGCAACCCCTGACTCCCAGGTTCCAGTGATTCTCCTGCCTCAGCCTCCCAAGTAGCTGGGATTACAAGCTTGCGCCACCACGCCTGGCTAATTTTTGTATTTTTAGTAGAGGTGGTTTCACTGTGTTTGCCGGGCTAGTCGCCAACTCCTGACCTAAAGTGATCCGCCTGCCTCAGCCTCCCAAAGTGCTAGGATTTACAGGCATGAGCCACCCTGCATGGCCAGGCCATACTTTTCAAAGTATGTCTGTGGGCATAATTTCCTGGTTTAGGAATTGTGTCAGAATATATTGTACTGTATTTAAAGTTGATATGCCTAACTCCTCCCACCCTCATCACCAAACACATACTTCCTGTGCCCTTAATTTATACTTCCCCCTAAAACTTTTTTTTTTTATAAGAGTCCCCATTCTTTCATACTCTTGCCAAGATTTTTGCCAGTCTAACAGGTTCCTGGATGTTTTTGGTATTTCCTTAAATGGCATTTTGTATATGTCCAGAAACAGTAGTGGTTCATTCTTTTTATTTTTCCAAAGCCCTTGCTGTGTTTAGCTTCCTTTTTTGGCCTTTTCAAAAGCAGTAATCCTTGAAGTTGTGTCTTCAGAGTAACCTGTAACCCCCAACAACTCAGTTCTTCCTGGAGTCATAAGTAGGAGTCCATCATTCTCTTCTAATACATTTTTATCTCAGGGCTTGAAAATTATTGGGAAATCCAGAGAGCTTTTGTTGTTTATATGTGCTTTATCTGTCTATATTTACTGAATTAGAAATTGAAACTGGGAGACATTACATTAGCTGTTAGAGCAGTGACATAATCACATGGCATGTAGATTCCAAAACTCCACTGTGCACTCAGTGAAAGAAGAAACAAGTCAGCAGACCCCTTAGTAGTAGTATGAGTGTAATTTTGACCTCCTTTACTCCCTGATAGGGTCTTAAGGATCCGTAGGGATTCTTAGACCAATTTTGAGAATTGCTGCTCTCTATAAAGTTTAATTTTTATTTTCTGAAAGATATTATTTTATATAATCTCTCTTTGAAGTTTGTATACCACTCTTCTGTATACTCAACAAATCTTTGAGGTCTACTTGGCATTTGATTTTCAGGCAATTCTTTCTAGTAACTTGGAGCATTTCCCAAATTGTGTCAGTGTTTTTTCTATGTGTCAGTACTATACCAGCATAGGGAAAATAAAGTAAGTGAAGGCAAGGAATTTAGCATATTCCCTTTTGACTTAAGAATTTTCCAATTTTGTATTTTTTTGCTTGAATTTCTTGTATTATGCAAATTAAGGGAAATTATTGAGACTCATTCTTGCATCATTATTAGATGACTTCATTGAATCTTAGCAGCATTTATACTTTCGTTTTGGCTTTCAGTAGGGTGTAGAGCAAAAGCTTTTACTTATACTCACCTCTTTTTATCACATAACCATCTTAGAGTTAGTGATAGATTTAAAAGCAACTATAACTTTATATTTGCATATATGCATATTGATTGGCAATCTCTTTTTAATGATCTTCAAAAATAATTTTTATCAGCTATTCCTTGAGCGAGAGCGGGCAGCCCAGCTAGCAGAAAGTAAAACAGATGAGTTGATCAAAGATGCTCCCACCACTCAGCATGATAAGAGTGGAGAGTGGCAAGAAACAAGTGGAGAAATACAGTGGGTGTCAACTGAAAAGACTGATGGTACAGAAGAGAAACATAAGAAGGAGGAGGAGGATGAAGAACTTGACCTCAATAAAGGTATATTTACTTTGAATGGTGTATTTAAATTGAAGATAGTGGTTTGATTTTGTTTTTTTCTTCAAACTATTTTAATTTGCAGATTGTCTTAATCTGGCTATTGCTTGAGGACCTCTCTAGTTCAGTCCAGACAAGCTTTGATACTTAAGTGCTTGTGGTAGTTCTCCCACAGTGAGGAAGGTGCGTGCCAGTGGCAGGCATGCTAGTGACGGGAAAGATCCAGTTAAGTCACTCTTCCTTCCGGGGCCCTCCTTTCCTTTACTTATCTGTGAAGAGACATATAGGAGACATAATAGGATTTTTTCAGTTTTCAGTTTTTGAGATTGTTTTTTCAGCTTCACTTTAAACTTGAAGATCTATTGTCAGATTACAGTAATAGTTCTCAAAGTGTAAGTACTAGATGGTAAACACAGTAAGAAATATACTGTAGGCTGGTGGCTCACACCTGTGAGCCCAGCACTTTGGGAGGCTGAAGCAGGAGGATTACTTGAGGCTAGGAGTTTGAGACAACAATCTAGCAAGACCCCATCCCTACAAAAAATATAAAAAATTAGCCTGGCATGGTGGCACAAGCCTGTAGTCCTAGGTGGTTGGGAGGCTGAGGTGGGAGGATTGCTTGAGCTGAGGAATTCAAAGTTACAGTGAGCTATGATTGTGCCACTGCCCTCCACCCTGGGTGACAGAGTGAGGCCCTTTCTCATTAAAAAAAAAAAAGATACTAGAGGTAATATCTTCGCTAATCATACATTATTGAGTATCTACTGTTGTCAGAATTTGTGATACAACTTTTGCCATTTATACAAGTTCTGCAAAATAGCCATTTGTAACTTTGTATCACTAAGGTTATGAATTTAAGTTCAGTCCGCCCTCCATACATGTGGGTTCCACATCCACAGAGTCAGCCAACCACAAATCAAAAATATTTGAGGAAGAAAAAATAATACAGGTTAGTAAATAATATAGTATAACAGCTATTTACATAACATTTACATTTTATTAGGTGTCATAAGTAATCTAGAAATGATTTACAGTATGCCAGAGGATGTGTGTGACTTATATGCAAATACTGCACCCTTTCCTGTCAGAGATTTGAGCCTCCTCCAGTTTTGGTATTGGAGGGTGCTGGCATCCTGGAACCAATACCCCTTGGATGCAGAGGGACGACCATATGTTCAGCTTCACATCAGTAGGAAGCAAGCCGCAGCAACGTCTCGTTCTGAGCCTTTTCTCCTGTTACTCCCACTCCTCCCCAAATCTGATCACCATTAGTTTTAATATTGTAATACTTGTCTTTTCCTTTTTCTCAGTTACTAGGTTTTGATGCATTTCTTTTTTTTTTTTTTTTTTTTGGCGTAATAACATTTTTGGTTTTTTAGCAGTCTTTTAAAAAGTTACAGCTTTATTGAGATAGAATTCACAGACTGTACAATTCATCCTTTAAAAATGAGTAATTCAGTAGTTTTTCATGTATTCACAAGGTTGTGCTGCCATCACCACTAATTCCAAATATTGTTTTTATCACCACTAAAGGAACCCAATACCCATTAGCAGCCATCACCCCTATTTTCCCCTCCTCCCTGGGCACTGGCAACCACTAATCTACTTTCTGTGTCTATGGATTTGCCTGTTTTGGACATTCCATTTAAAAAGGAGTCATACAATATGTTGCCTTTTATGACTGGCTTCTTTCAGCCAGCAGAATGTTTTCAAAGTTCATCCGTGATACAGTATTTGTTAATACTGTATTCCTTAGACAAATAATATTCCATAATATTGTTATACCATAGTTTATTTGTTTACTGATGGACATTTGAGTGGTTTCTGCTTTTTAGCTTTTTGAACAGTTATCTACAAGTTTTTTTGTAGACATACATTTTCATTTCTTTTGGATTTATACCTAGGAGTTGGAATTGTTGGATTGTATGTAACTGTGTGTTTTAACATTCTAAGAAAATGCCAAATTGTTTTCCAGTGTGGCTGCACTATTTTACATTCCCATCAGCAACGTATGAAGGTTCCAAGTTACTTGTATTGTAAAAGAAAATTTTTAGTCATCCTAGTGGGCGTGACATGATATCTCATTGTGGTTTGATTTGCAGTTCCCTGGTGATTAATGATGCTGACCATCTTTTCATGAACTCATTGGCCATTTGTGTATCTTGTTTGAAGAAATCTCTAAGTCTTCTGCCCGGTTTTGTGGGTTGTTTTTGTTGTTTTTGAGACAGAGTCTTGCTCTGTCACCCAGGCTGGAGAGCAGTGGCACGATCAGGGCTTACTGCAGCCTTGACGTCCCAGGCTCAAGCGATCCTCCCACCTCAGCCTTGCAAGTAGCTGGGAGCTACAGGCGTGCACCGCCACACCCATTAAAGGTTTTTGAATTTTAATGGAGAGGAGGTCTCACTATGTTGCCCAGGCTGGTCTCAAACTCCTGAGCTCAAGTGATCCTTCCAACTCAGCCTTCCAAAGTGCTAGAATTATAGGTGTGAGGCACCACGCCTGGCCCTTTGCCCAGTTTTAATTGGGTTGTTTTTGTTGTTGAGTTGTAAGAATGTTTTTTATATGTTCTGGATACTTGACCCTTATCAAGTTCATGATTTGCAAATATATTTTCTCATTCTGTGGATTAATCTTTTCAGTTTGTTAATTGTGTCCTTTGCAACACAAAAATTTTAACTAAAAGTTTTATGGTTTCAGCTTTTCTTTTGGATCCCTATTTCATTTTGATTAAATTTTTGTTAATCTGTGGATATCCAGTTGTCCTAGCATCATTCGTTGATTTGTAGCAGTTTTAAAGTAAAGATAACTAACAGAATGGTTGGTTTTGTGAGGTTTGTGTTAATTAATATACTGTTACAATTCTTTACTTCAATTCTCTCAGCCCTTCAGCATGCCGGCAAACACATGGAGGATTGCATTGTGGCCTCCTACACAGCACTACTTCTTGGGTGTCTCTGCCAGGAAAGTCCAGTAAGTACATAGTTCAGTGATGTTTTATGTATCTTTGAAAGATTCCAATGTAACGACTTCATACCTTTACATGTTTCACTTATTTATTTCTTCAGTGTTTCCCCCTTAATGTCCAACTTATTCCACAAAGGCTATTGGCTGATTATAGGGTTGTTTAAATTGTTTGTTTCCTATGGAGGAAAAATGGCAAGAAAATGTGTTAACATTTCCAGTAGTTTTTTTTTTTTTTTTTGAGGCGGAGTCTCGTTCTGTCACCCAGGCTGGAGTGCAGTGGCGCAATCTCGGCTCACTGCAAGCTCCACCTCCCTGGTTCCCGCCATTCTCCTGCCTCAGTCTCCCGAGTAGCTGGGACTACAGGCGCCTGCCACCGCCCCCGGCTAACTTTTTTTTGTATTTTTTGGTAGAGACGGGGATTCATCGTGTTAGCCAGGTTGGTCTCAATCTCCTGACCTCGTGATCCGCCTGCCTTGGACTCCCAAAGTTCTGGGATTACAGGCGTGAGCCACCGTGCCCGGCCATTTCCAGTAGTTTTATTTAAATTACCTAAATAGTTTTAAAGTAAAAACTTTAGTACAGTCTGTATTGGAAAGGGAATGTATAGCATTTTTTACATGCTAATCCTTTCCAATATAGGTTTTACTAAGTAAGGCCTGGAGTGGAGTAAATTAAATTGATTTTCACTTTTTAAAAAGTGAAATAAAGTTGATCTTTATGGCTTTATTAGGAAGGATGTGCCTGTCAGAGTTAGGCTGTTAAAGATGTAAGAAAAAGCAGTTCTGGAAAACAAGCTAGTCAGTGCTTTAATCTCATGAAAAAGGAAGAATTACATACATGAAATAAAATTAAAAATCAAAATAGTATATAATATTAAAAACTTTAAAATACTTGTTGAGCTTTTTCAGGTACATCCCAAAGGTCAGAATACTAATGAAAAAGCTCTTGTGGCCGGGCATGGTGGCTCATGCCTGTAATCTCAGCACTTTGGGAGGCTGAGATGGGCAGATCACTTGAGGTTAGGAGTTCGAGACCAGCCTTGCCAACATGGCAGAACCATGTCTCTACTAAAAATATAAAAATTTGCTGGGCGTGGCGGTGCACACCTCTAATCTCAGCTACTCGGGAGGCTGAGACGCAAGAATCGAATCGCTTGAATCCTGGAGGCGGAGTTTGCAGTGAGCCAAGATCGTGCCACTGCACTTCAGCCTGGGCTTCAGAGTGAGACTGTTTCAAAAAAAAAGAAGAAAAGAAAAAGCTGTTGTTTGATGGATGAATCTGTTCACATGCCTTTGGTTGGAGTAAAAGAAGGGATAGTATGAAACCTGTACTCATCTGGCTTAAACAAGATGGCAGAGTCTAATTTGGGTGATGTCAGTGCCTCACTGAGGTCATCAGAGACTCAGATCATTTCTGTCTTTATTATTTTTCTGTATTTTTTTGTAGAGACAGGGTTTCACCATGTTGTCCTGGCCGGTCTCGAACTCCTGGGCTCAAGTGATCCTCCTGCCTCGACCTCTCAAAGTGCTGGCATTATAGGTGTGAGCCACAGTGCCCACCCCATTTCTCTCTTTAAACTGCTGTCCTCCACATGTTGTCCTCTGCTAGCCCTTATGGTCCCGTGCTGACTACAGCTAGGTGTCTCATCAAATTAAGTAGTGCCTAGCAGTAATAGGGCCTCTTCCTCTATAGTTTTTTTTTTTTTTTCATAGGTGCATTGGCTGGAAATACATATCTTTTTAAGACAACTGTTTGTTTATTTCCCCTGTGGGACCCCATGCCACTCTCACCCCTCACCAGGTAGACTTCTCATCTTGGCCAGCATTGGGTCACAATGCTTTTGTCTGAACCAGTCACTGGCTGGGAACATGGGATTACTGTGAGTGGATTAGATCATCAGGATTCACTTAGGAGAAATACAAATGTCTAGACAATCAGGCTGAGTCAGCCTGAAAGTGAAAGGTTGTGACTATGGGGATAGTCTGCTGCCTTGGGAAAAACAAATATGAAGGGTAAAACTGTTGAAGAAGGGTCCAGCAGAATCATTGTGAGTGTTCTCTTTCAGATGGGGGGTTGGGCATAGGTGGATTATTTTTAAGTGTAAAGTCCATTTGTAAAGCCAGATTTTGAAATGGAAGGCAGATTGTTTTCTAGGAGCAAGGGCATTGAGGGAACAAGAAAGAGTGGAGACCTATAGGAGGGGGGCATTAGTTTCAGCAGGAAGCAGGGGCCATCTCTTTTTGAAGCTGGAGGACTGGAAGAACAGAGTTAATGATAAATGAATGGCTTTATTTGAGCAGGAACTCATGCTGGCTCTGTGTACCTGGGCCCATCTACCCACCCCACGTTTCCTTACTTTAGCCATCTAATTCTTTGTATTGCCTTTTTTTTTTTTTTTCACTTTGTGTATCTAAGTCCTGTGTGTTTTTCTGAATCCATCTTGTCCATCTCTTCCATACTTAACATTTTAACTAACCTAAATACAACAGCCCACTCTGTGTGGCCCCTCTGGGTACCGCCGATTTCAGGATCAAGACCAAAGTTCTCATCGTGGCTCTGGAGGCCCCGCAAGATCTTTATATCCCTTTTTCTTATTTCCAATGACAAGATTTTAAGAGCAAATCAGAAACCCATCACACACAGGAAAGGAGGAAGAGGCAGGCCTCAAAAGCAGTGAAAAAAGGCCGGGCGCAGTGGCTCACGCCTGTAATCCCAGCACTTTGGGAGGCCAAGGTGGGCAGATCACAAGGTCAGGAGATCGAGACCATCCTGGCTAACACGGTGAAACGGTGAAACCCCGTCTCTACTAAAAATACAAAAAAAAAATTAGCCGGGCGTGGTGGTGGGCACCTGTAGTCCCAGCTACTCGGGAGGCTGAGGCAGCAGAATGGCGTGAACTCGGGAGGCGGAGCTTGCAGTGAGTGGAGATCGCACCACTGCATTCCAGCCTGGGCAACAGAGCGAGACTCCATCTCAAAAAAAAAAAAGCAATGAAAATAATATTTAAATTTAAAGATTTTTAGATACTCTGTTTTTTACACACTATAGGTTTAGTCATATTTCAGTCACGTTCTTTCTTACATAATCGTTCTTGAAATTGTGTTATTACCACATATGATTTATCTTGGGCCATCTTTCCCATGCTAATTCCTATTTGTGTTTGCCTGTATCTATCTTGTCTCTAAAAAGAGAATGTTCTTAAATTGTGGGAAATGTTGTGAATTCATAGAGCCCCAGATTTATTTGTTGCCTTGGAGATTATTATGATTAACACCAAAAAGCTAGCTGATACCACAAAATGTAAAGGAAGTTTGGTTTACCTAATGTGTAAGTGAAAAGAGATAGACAAGAAAGCATGTGGTTGTTGCAGTAAATGCTGCTTTGTGGTCTGATCCCATTTTCACTTGCCCTCCATGTCTTCTCACTTTGCAGCTGGTGCATTGCAGTGGTCAGTCTCCTCACTGCTCTTCCTGCTTTGTTGCCCCTCCATTCCTGGGACATTGCACATTGCCACTGGAGCTAACTTACTTCAGAGCACTTACTGATCACGTAGCTCCTTGCCCAGTCTTCCTTGGCTCACAGCCAGGAAGGGGACTCATGACTGTTTAGTGTTGCAAGACCCTGGACTTAAGACTGCTTCTCCAATTTCCAAACCTACTGGACACTTTTAAAATTTTTCAAATAGGCCATGCTGTATCATGCCTTTTCTTTTTGTACCTGCTATATTCTGTTAAAAAATGCTGTCACTGTCCCTCCCATTGCCTCAGAAACGCTGTATGTCATGTTCTGTAGTGTGTTGATAGAGAAGGGTTTGATTTGGATTAATGAGGGGCTTTCATCCAAAATATAGGAGCTAATCATATATTCTCTATTACAGAGGCGTACTTTTCTACTGAGCAGTTCTCCAGAGACACCTTAGCCACTATTTTGCCCACCACTGTGATAGCTTTTGGTGGGAGGATCAGTTTGAATGTGTGTAACTGATATCTTCAGCACATGAGTACTTTAGCAGTGTTTTGATTAGATCTTTTCTGAAGCTGTATTCATCTCATTTTTTTGCTGCTTTCTAATTTTGCGAGTACCCTGGCATGGGAATAGGAAAAAGGGGGTGGGTAGTGGCAAATTTCTGAAGAGAAATATGTCATCTCTCCTTTTTTGCCCCCGCTAACAAAAGTCGAATTGGGAGCTTTTGTGTGTTTTCTTTTTGTTTTTTGGTTGGTTTTGTTTAACCCTTTACCTTGTGTCCCCAAACTTGGGACAGTATACTTTCTTTTGCCCCTTACTACAGGTGAACCTTCCTAAAAGATTTTTTCTTTTTATTCTCCGTAAAACATTTAAAGCATTCTTTAATGAAATAGTTTTTTAAGCAGGTTGTGTAATGTTTTCCATGTAACAGATTGGTTTATATATAGTTTGGCTGCTTCTTGCTAATAATGAAGGGTTTTCTCTCCTGATATTGTCTGAGAATCTATCATAGATGAGGTTAGATTGCCTTTGGAAAGATGCTTCTAGTTAATTCCTGTCCTATATAATTAGTTGAATTCATCTGTGAAGGATGTGAATTTTTCTTTGATCTTTTTATTTCATGAGCAGCTTTGTGAGTACATTCTCAGGTCTAAAGTCCTCACCCTCTTCTCCTATTCCCCCAGGGCCCCCAGTGAAACACACACATACATTAAACAGTGCAGTTTGTTATTTCAGGCCTTTTTCTTTGCATTTATGAAAGTAGGTCGGCATGCTGCCTCACACCTGTAATTCCAGCACTTTGGGAGGCCAAGGTGCGTGGATTACTTGAGCCCAGGAGCTCGAGACCAGCCTGGCCAACATGATGAAACCACGTCTCTGCTAAAAATACAAAAATTAGCCAGGCATGGTGGCACGTGCCTTTAATCCCGGCTACCCGGGAGGCTGAGGCATGGGAATCACTTGAACCCAGGAGGTAGAGGTTGCAGTGAGCTGAGATTACACCACTGCACTCCAGCCTGGGTAACAGAGTGACTGTTTCATTTAAAAAAAAAAAAAAAAAAGTAAATGTGTACACAAATATTTCTTTGTAGCTTTTGCCAACTTTACCTTTCTCCTTTCTTTCTGAGGGTGAGGTAGGAAATCACATGCAGAGTGAGTGTGGAAAGAGAATAAATAACCACGTGTTCCAAGGATCTTAAAAATTTGCACCAAGATGTGTGTCAAAACCAACAACATTGTACGAGGTGCAATCTCATGTTTTCTGCCAGCTGACCAATATTTCTTGCTCTGTTTCCTCAGATCAATGTAACCACTGTGCGGGAATATCTGCCAGAAGGAGACTTTTCAATAATGACAGAGATGCTCAAAAAATTTTTGAGTTTTATGAATCTCACTGTAAGTAGCTTTTATTACAGCTTATATGATTTTAAATTTATAATACATTGACAGTAGACATAAAAATACTATGGCCATAGTAAGTGGGAGCAAAAAGGGATTTTCTTTTAATTTTAATAATCGTGTTCTATTTCTTCAAGGTAATCATTGCATGTTATGGCAAATAACTTTATCAAACCCACAATTTAATCTCGGTGTACTTTGATTTGTAGTGTTCAGTTTAGTAAATCTAGAGGTAAACTTTTATTTATACTTCTTAAAATCTGTTAAATATTAACTGTTACTTCCTTTCCCCTTCACCCTGCTTTCAGTGTGCTGTTGGAACAACTGGCCAGAAATCTATCTCTAGAGTGATTGAATATTTGGAACATTGCTAGCTGCTTTACCTTTGCTTCAGGTGCTCGGTAATGCTGGAGCTATCCTTAGACAAAGAAAAGTCAAGTCATGAAAGAAGTCCTTGAAGATATACCAAGAACATTCATCAGTATCATTCGTGTTTGGATTTTTAAGGCCACCTGATTTCTTCGTCATGCATTCGGCATTTGCTAAATGACAGTTACTACATCAATCTGCA
This sequence comes from Homo sapiens, assembly GCF_000001405.40. Classification (NCBI taxonomy): domain Eukaryota; kingdom Metazoa; phylum Chordata; class Mammalia; order Primates; family Hominidae; genus Homo; species Homo sapiens. The sequence goes on along the minus strand of NC_000010.11, from coordinate 86,437,345 downwards.
ACTATCAAAAATGAGGGGAAAAGGTTCAGGCTGTTAACAATTCCATGCAGTATTTAAATACATTTACTTTGGCAGAGTTTATACCCTCCCCTTGTTTTCTTGCTTTATTCTGGGCAAGTTTGAAGGGGAAAATTTGTGCTGCTGTTAGTGCAACTGCTGTGTATGTTGAGCCACTGTTGTCATGCCAGCCAGGTGCAAAGGCAGCTTAGCTACTGAGGTAGCGAATGTTCTGAGGACATTCTAGACAACAGCTTAGTTCCTTTTTCAGGCTCATTTGCTTTTGCTTTTTTGTTGAATGATTCCAATCGTAAATAAAGCTTTTAATAATTTTGTGAATTTTTTGGTTGTTGTTCCCTGAACTACTGTCTATATTTAAAATTAGATGGAATCCAAAGATACACGGGATTAATAGTATATTTTTTTATTCTTGATTAGGTTTGGGTTATTGAACTATTTTTTACTTTTGAGACCACAACCATATTCAATATCATACCATAATGTGTCATAGCTATAGGCACAAGAAAAACAACAGTTTGAGAGAATATTATATAAGATGATGTGCCCTGTTAAAAGGAGGAGGCAAAATAGTCAAACCCAGGGTAGTTTACACTTAATGCTAGGGAGGCTCTTAAAACATTATTAGATTTTGAGGAAAGACTCTCTAGATATATTTTCTAATGTTCAGTACAATAAATATAAGGAAGCTAAAACACCAATGTGGAATTCCTGTTTCCAGATAACATGTATATTCTTCTATAGAGTGACAGGATCAATTGCATAAGCGCAAAGCCTTAAATTGCTGGTTTAGAGAAGACCCTTTTTTCATTCAGATTCTTTGTTCGTAGAGCAGTTATTTGAAAAACAGTTATGGAACACAAAACATTTTATAGATTTAATATCATAACATTGCAAATTTTTCTTGTATTATTCACACCACTGGTTATACTTTTTTTTTTCCTTTTTTATTGATTGGGCCTGAATACAGGCTTTCTAGAGATCTTTTTCATTAATACTTTTAAATACCTTTCAGGTAGTTACATCATGTTTCTTCATTGGATTTGTAAAACTTGAAGCCATAAAAATATTAGTTTGGTGTGTATTGGGGAAAATAGCTAAAAGTCTAATTTTTACCCATTTAGACTTTGTTATTTCCTTGTATAAAGTGACAAATCGGGGCTCTTGTATCAGTGCCAGCTGTAATGTTTTTAAATGCAGTGGCTGCCTTCTATTGTCTTCCTATTTTTGATAATGCAGATTGTTGGGAAATCTGTAAGGAAGTAACTGATTCCAGGCAAATTGTTTTCTTCCTTCTACCCACCCCAACCCCTACCCATCACCTTTTAAGAACATAGTACGCCAGTGTAACGTGGGAACCATTGAGATTGTATTTGCCCTGAGTATTAAAGCTAGCTTAGCAAAATACTTTTAAAAACATATTGGTAAATGATACCCGTAAAATTAAATTAGTTATATTTTATTTTAAAATGCAAAATACATTGATATTTATTAATCATTGGATTTAGGGAAAGGGACAGATTTTTGGTGAACCTGACTTGTGGCAGATGGTAAGGAATATTATAAAACATTTGGATGAGAACAATCAGGGCGAACTGCATTTTTCTGTTACACTGGTAATCATTTGAAAATTGATTTACCTCAGTGTTTAACAGTTTTTTGTTTTGTTTTGTTTTTTAAATAATAACTAATTGTCGAGCACTGATAGAGATGCAGATTTTGGTGGGGGGAGGTGGTGGGGGAGATAATCACTTCACCAACTGCAGTGCATTTGTGTGTTTTTAACCCTCAGAGAACTCTGCATTTTAGGGTACTTGAGGCTGACTTAACTAAAAGTTTTAAAGTAACCTTTTTTCCATTGTAAATATTTCTGTAAATACTACCAATTGGAAATTAGAACAGTAGAGTACTTTTCTGAATCCAATCCTATTTTTATTTTATACAGTATTTCTCAGCTGTGATCTTTGGAGCAAAAGCCAACGGCAGGAAAAAATAGTTTGTACCAGTTTCATGAAGTATGTCTTTGGGTTTTTGTAAATAATTTTAACTCAAATAAAATTGCTACTTTCAATACACATGTTGTCTTTAACATAAGTCTATTGGAGGACAGAAGTGTCACAAACTTTATATATAGCCGACTCTAATGGGAAATACACTATCACTTAACACATTTAACCAGTTTTTGTTAAATATTTTATTATTTCTCCATGTTTTTAATAATACTCATCTGAATATAATGTGAACTCAACAACTCAGGCCAATTAGGGACTGGATTTTCAGTTAGGCCCTTGGCATACTTAACTGTTTTGATTTAGGTTATTTTTTGCTCCTATGAGTATGATCCAAGACATCTTTGCTTCTGAGGTTTTACACTGCTTTTTAGTTTTTCAGTTTTCTTCTTAATTGTCAGCCCTTAGGCATCCTGCATTTACAAGTAGATTCCTCAACTTCTCCTTACTGCTTTTAGCCACAAAACTAGATTGAAGGATCTCTCCTGGGAGTTTCCATTACTCTCCCCACTTAAACATGAGTAAGAGTGGTTTCAGGATGCAGGCTATGGATATAGAAAGACAAATCACACAGAAAATTTGAATCCTTTTTCTGATACATGCTTATTGACTTTGAGTAAATTCTTGAACCATTAAGCCCGTTTCCTCAAAACAGGAAAAACAGGGATAGTACCTACCTCATGGTTGTGAAAAGTAAGTACATGTGAAGCATTAGCACAATATTCTAAACTTAGGATGGCTGGGCACAGTGGCTCACACCTGTAATCCCACCACTTTGGGAGGCTGAGGCGGGCAGATCACTTGAGGTCAGGAGTTCAAGACCAGTCTGGCCAACATGGTGAAACCGGTCTCTAATAAAAATACAAAAATTGGCCAGGTGTAGTGACACACACTTGTAATCCCAGCTACTTGGGAGGCTGAGGCAGGAGAATTGCTTGAACTCAGGAGGCGGAGGTTGCACTGAGCTGAGATTGTACACTGCACTCCAACCTGGGAAACACAGCAAGATGCCATCTGAAAAAATAAATAAAAATAAGTAACCTTAATTTGGCAATGGTAGCTTTTATCGTTTCACTATTTTGTATCAGGAAGGTGAAATATTCTAAACAACAATGGAGTAGCATATTGTTATATTACTGAGGTCAGTGGGGCTTGGGTTACTTTAACGGCAATTCTACAATTGCTGTTTTCAAATTGATCTTGTTAATATTAATGACTAATAAACGAGGGAATTGAACAAACTTCAGTAATCATTAAAGTATTTTAAGCATGGGGTTGGGGCGCGTTGGCTCATGCCTGTAATCCCAGCACTTTGGGAGGCCGAGGTGGGTGGATGCCGAGGTGGGTGGATCACGAGGTCAAGAGATCGAGACCATCCTGGCCAACATGGTGGAAACCGTGTCTTTACTAAAAATACAATAATTAGCTGGGCCTGGTGGCGTGCACCTGTAGTCTCAGCTACTTGGGAGGCTGAGGCAGGAGAATCACTTGAACCTGGGAGGCAGAGGTTGCAGTGAGCCAAGATTGTGCCACTGCACTCCAGTCTGGGTGACAGAGCGAGACTCCGTCTCAAAAAGTATTTTAAGTATGTCCTTCAGGTTTTTTCTTGGATGTAGAAGAAAGTCTTGAAAGAGGCTTGCACAATTCACTATCATGGTCTCCTGACATTGGATGTGTAGATGCATAACTTTATGGGTAATGTCTTTGAACAGAGAATTTGAATAAATACTGAGTGTTTTTGTCAAACCTCTTTCCCTGTTTAACCTTTGTGTGCAGTTTGAATACTCCAAATGCCATGTACTGGCGTAAGGAGCCAGCTGAGTTTATAAAACTATATACTGCCTAGTATAGTTTATAAAACTATATACTGCCTAGTTATTAGTCATAAGAACCTGTCTTGCTATCTAGAATTGTATTATAGCAAATGTAGGTAAATGAAACTATCCTCTTGCAAAAATTGTTAATATTAAGTAGATTGTCCTAAATTAAAGATGCCTATCATAACCCCTAGAGTAACGAGTAAAAAATAATGCAGACACATATAGCTAGAGCTGCCAGAGGAAATTAAAAGGAACACTGGAAAATATTTGATTAATCAAAGGAAGGCAGGGAAGGAGTAACTAACAAAAACAAACAAGAAAAGTAGAAAACGAGAAGCAGGACGAATAGAAATAAGCAAAAAACACTTCCCTGTAAGGAACAAGCCAAAGATGTCCACTAAGCCTAATGATATGAATAATTATATTAAATGTAAATACACTAAACAAAGGCAGAGATTGTCAAACTGAACAGCCAAGAGACACTAACTACAAATATACAAATGATATGGAAGCAAAAGGATAGGAAAAGATGTACCATGCAAATACTAATCACAAAATTGGAGTGGCTGTATTATCAGACAAGATGGACTTTAAGACAAGGGAATATTACCAGATCTGTTAAGGGGAAAGGGTCTCTAACAGGAAGAAATAACAATTCTGCCTGTGCATCTAATACCTGATAGACCTTTTATACTACATGCAGTTAAAAATTTAAAGGAGAAATAGACAAAAGTCACATCATAGTTTGATATTTCACCCTTTGGAATTAATAGGATACATATATATATGATATATATCAGTAAAGATAGAGAAGTTCTGAATGACAGTATCAACTATCGACGTAATTGACAGTTATAAAACATTACACGGAGCATATTTTTCAACTGCACAAAAAATTTTCACAGACCATCTGATGGGTCATAAAACAAGTCTCAATGAATTTAAGATGATTGAAATCTTAAAGGGGATATATCTTCACCCCAAGGAATTAAATCAGAAGTCAATACAGATCTAGAAAACTTTGAAAAATAATACACTTCCTAGTAGTCTTTGAAGGGGAATTAGAAAGTTTAATGATCTGAATGACAAAATGCAACATATCAAAATTTGTGGAATACACTTAAAGCAGTGCTTAGAGGAAAATTAAGAAGGCTTAAATTATCCTAATTTCTATGTGAAGCTAGATGAACAATTAAACCTAAAGTAAGTTCAAGGAAAAAAATATGAGCAGAAATTAATATAATAAAAGACAAGTAATAGAAAAATTTTACCAAAGCCAAAAGATGATTCTTTGTAGTTAATAAAACTGATAAATCCTTAGCAAGACTAATCAAGAAAGAAAAAAACACAAATTATCAACGTCAGAAATAAAAGATGGAATACAGATGCTATAGGCCTAAAAGGATAAATAATTTTAAAATTTTTATAATTAAAATATTTTTATTACTTAATAGAGACAAGGTCTTACTCTGTTGCTCAGGCTGGTCTTGAACTACTTAGCTCTGATCCTCCTGCCTTGGTTTCCCAAAGTGCAAGCATTACAGACGTGAGCCACCACACCCGGTCAGATAAAGAATTTTATGAATAATTTAAGCCAGTAAATTTTACAAATTAAATGAACGAATTCCTTGCAAAACAAACTTACCAAAACTAATTCAAGAAACAGAAAGCCTCATTAGCCCTATATTCAAAACAATTGAATTTGTACTTTAAAATCTACATATAAGTCCTGTCCCAGAAGACTTCATTGATGCATTACATGAAACACAAGGAAGAATTAATATCCATTTACACAGAAAGTAGAGAAGAGAATACTTACCAAATCAGTGTATAAGCCTTACCTATATATCTCCAATACAAAGCGCAAAGATATTGCAAGGAAAAAAAATAGCAACATTTTTATAGATGCAAAATATTTAACAAAGTATTACAAGATCAAATCCATTACTATGTAAAAAGTATAATACATCACAACAAGGTATTTATCAAAGGAGTGTAAAATTGGTTTATTATCCTTTAGATACAGAAAAACCATTTTCCAAAATGCAACACCTATTCATGGTTAAGAAACAAGCAACAACGCAGTGGCTCACGCCTGTAATCCCAGCACTTTGGGAGGCCAAGGCAGGTGGATTGCTTGAGCACAGGAGTTTGAGACCAGCCTGGGCAAATGGCGAAACCCTGTCTCTATAAAAAATACAAAATTAGCCAGGTGTGGTAGTGTGCGCCTGTGGTCCCAGCTACTAGCAGCTACTAAGGCAGGAGAATCTCATGAGCACAGGAGGTCGAGGCTGCAGTGAGGTGTGATTGCACCACTGCCCTACAGCCTGGGTGACAGAATGAGACCCTGTCTCAAAAAAAGAGAAAGAAATAGGAACTAATCTTGATCCCCGCCCTCAGAAGAGAGCAGGTATGAAAAGTGTACAATAATTGAACTTGATGAGTCACTGAATGCTTTCCTCTGAAGATCAAAAACAAGGCAGAAATTTCCAATATCAACACTTCTACTTTGTATAAAAGTAGAATTGACAAGCTGATTCTAAAATTCACCTGGAAATGCAAAGGACATAAAATAGTAAAAATAATCTTGAAGAATAACAAAGCTGGAGGACATACACTATTGACCTTCTAGTTTCACGATAAAACCACAATGGTCAAGACCATGTATTCGCATGAGGACAAGATCAATACAATGAAGGCAGAGCCTAGAAATAGGTCAACAGATACACGGTCAACTGATTTTTGACAGAGGCACCAGAGCAATTTAATGTAGAAATTAAAATATTTTTAACAAATGGTTATGAAACAAGTGAATACCCATATTTAAAAAAAAAATCTTGACCCTTACCTTATGCTAAACATAAAAATTAATTCCATATGGATCATAGATCTCAATGTAAAAGCTAAAACTATAAAGCTACTACAAAAAGAAAGAACGAGGCCAGGCGTGGTGGCTCAGGCCTGTAATCCCAGCACTTTGGGAGGCTGAGGCAGGCAGATTGCCTGAGCTCAGGTGTTCGAGACCAGCCTGGGCAACATGATGAAACCCCGTCTCTACTAAAACACAAAAAATTAGCTGAGCGTGACAGCCTGTGCCTGTAGTCCCAGCTACTTGGGAGGCTAAGGTGGAAGGATCACCTGAGCCCAGGAGATGGAGGCTGCAGTGAGTGGAGATCATGCCACTGTACTCCAGCCTGGGAGATAGAGCCAGACCTCGTCTCAAAAATAAAATAAAAATTGGCCAGGCGTGGTGGCTCATGCCTGTAATCCCAGCACTTTGGGAGGCTGAGGCAGGTGGATCACGAGGTCAGGAGTTCAAGGACCAGCCTGACCAACATGGTGAAACCCCATCTCTACTAAAAATACAAAAATTCTTCGGGCGTGATGGCAGATGCCTGTAATCCCAGCTACTTAGGAAGCTGAGGCAGGAGAATCACTGGAACCCCGGAGGCAGAGGTTGCAGTGAGCCGAGATCGTGCCATTGCACTCCAGGCTGGGTGACAGAGGGAGACTCCCATCTCAAAAATAAATAAATAAATAAAATAAAAAGTGGCCAAGTGTGGTGGCTCATGCCTGTAATCCTAGAACTTTGGGAGGCCGAGGCAGGTGGATCACGAGGTCAGGAGATTGAGATCATCCCGGCCAACATGGTGAAACCCCGTTTCTACTAAAAATACAAAAATTAGCTGGGTGTGGTGGCATGCACCTGTAATCCCAGCTACTGGGGAGGCTGAGACAGGAGAATTGCTTGAACCCGGGAGGCAGAGGTTGCAGTGAGCAGAGATCTTGCCACTGCACTCCAGCCTGGAGACAGAGTGAGACTCCATCTCAAAAAAAAAAAAAAAAAAAAAAGATAAAAAAACCCATAAATTACAATGAGATGCTATTGTGTATTCAGTAGAATGGCCAGTTCAAAAGATGACAGCACCAAATGGTGGCACATCAACAACTGGAACTTTTTTTTAATGCTGTTGGGAATGTAAAATCATAACACCACTTTGGACGAGTTTTGTCAATTCCTTGTGAGAATAAAGTTATGCCTGTCTGGGCTGAGTGCACTGGCTCATGCCTGCAATCCCAGCACTTTGGGAGGCCGTGGCAGGAGGATCACTTGAGGGCAAGAGTTCAAAACCAGCCTGGGTAATGTGGTGAGACCTCATCTTTGCCAATGAATAGATAGATAGATAGATAGATAGATAGATTGATAGATAGATAGATAGATAAAAGCTGGGCATAGTGGCACATGCCTGTAGTCCCATCTGAGGCAGGAGGATTGCTTGAGCCCAGGAGGTTGAAGCTACAATAAGCCATGATTGTACCACTGCACTCCAGCCTGGGCCACAGCTAAAATATATATATATATATATTTTATATTTTATATATATAATATATATTATATTTTATATATTTATATATAATATATATTATATTTTATATATTTATATATAAAATATATATAATATATATTATATATATATTTATCTGTTCTTCAACCTAACAATTTCACTTTATCCAGAAGAAATGAAAATATTCAACAGAAAAAGTTGTGGAAAATGTTCACAGTCATTTTATCAACAAATAGCCAAACACTGGAAACAACTCAAATGTCCGTCCGCAGACAATAAACAAATTGATAGATTTATGCAATAATATACTACTTAGTAATAAAGAGGAACGAATTACTTTTTAAATCAACAACATGAAGAAATTTCACATTCATAACGCTCAGTGGAAGAAGCTGAATTTTCAAAATACATATAATACAGCCATGTGCAGTGGCTCACACCTGTAATCCCAGTGCTTTGGGAGGCCAAGGTGGGAGGATCGCTTGAGACCACGAGTTTGAGACCTATAATATGCATCAATTTATACAAAATTGTAGAACAGGCAATGTTATCTAAGGTGAAAACATTCAGAACAATTTATTTAAAAGACAGTAATAAGCAGTTAAATGAAAACCTCTATATGCTTAGAAATGTAAAAAACACAACCTGATAACTCATGGGTTAAATCAATTATAATTTATTTTTATTTTTATTTTTTTTTTTTGAGACGGAGTCTTGCTCAGTCACCCAGGCTGGAGAGCGGTGGTATGATCTTGGCTCACTGCAACCTCCAACTCCTGGGTTCAAGTGATTCTCCTGCCTCACCCTCCCGAGTAGCTGGGATTACAGGTGCATGCCATCATGCCCAGTTAATTTTTGTATTGTTAGTAGAGACAGGGTTTCACAGGTTGGCCAGGCTGGTCTCAAACTCCTGACCTCAAATGATCCACCCGCCTCAGCCTCCCAAAGTGCTGGGATTACTGGCGTGAGCCACCGCACCTGGCCATAATTTTTTTTTTTTTTTTTTAAATTAGAACTAGGCTGGTGACAGTGGGTCACACCTGTAATCTCAGCACTTTTAGGAGGCTGAGGCGGGTGGATCACCTCAGCCCAGGAGTTCGAGACCATCCCGGGGAACATGGCAAAACCCCATCTCTATGAAAAATACAAAATTAGCCAAGTGTGGTGGCACGCGCCTGTAATCCCAGCTACTTGATAGGCTGAGCGGGGAGGATCACTTGAACCCAGGGGTCGAAGATTGCAGTGAGCCCTGATTGAGCCACTGCACTCCAGCCTAGGTGAAAGAGTGAGACCCTGTCTCAAAAAAATAAAAATTTTAATTTAAAAAATAAATTAGAACTGGATGACAATGAAAATAAAATATATCAAAAGTCATGGTGCAGGGCACGGTGGCTCACGCCTGTAATCCCAGCACTTTGGGAGGCTGAGGCGGGCAGATCACTTGAGGTCAGGAGTTCGAGACCAGCCTGGTCAACACGGTGAAACCCTGTCTCTACTAAAAATACAAAATTAGCCGGGCGTGGTGGCACATGCCTGTAATCCCAGCTACTTGGGAGGCTGAGGCAGGAGAATCGCTTGAACCCCGGAGGCAGAGGTTGCAGTGAGCCAAGATCGTGCCATTGCACTTCAGTTTGGGCAACAAGAACAAAACTCCGTTTCAAAAAACAAAAAAAAAAGTTACGGGATACAGCAAAATTTTTATCTTTAAATGCTTATATTTGAAAGACAGAATGACTAAAATTGTAAAGTACATATTATTCATCTTAATGACAGAGTAAGAGCAATAGAATAAACTCTTAATAAGTAGAAGGAAGAAGATAATGGCAAATTTTTTAAAATTGGTGAAAAATGGATTCTTTGAAAAGTCTAAATTTTGAGTACACTCACCAAGAAGGAGGGAATAAAATACAAATTACAAAAGTAAGTATAAAAATCAATACATGTGGGCCAGGCGTGGTGGCTCACGCCTGTAATCCCAGCACTTTGGGAGGCTGAGGCGGGCAGATCACAAGCTTGGGAGTTCGAGACCAGCCTGGCTAACATGGTGAAACCCTGTTTCTACTAAAACTACAAAAAATTAGCCAGGCGTGGTGGTGCATGCCTGTAATCCCAGCTACTTGGGAGGCTGAGGCAGGAGAATTGCTTGAACCCAGGAGGCAGAGGTTGCAGTGAGCCGAGATTGCCCCATTGCTCTCCAGCTTGGGCAACAAGAGCGAAACTCCATTTCAAAAGAAAAAAAAATCAATACATGCTATCCTGTATGAAATAAATAAATATTAAAAAGACAATATATGAGTACAGAAACACTAGAGATTAAAAAAGTTTTAACTAACTACTCTGAATAAATGCATGCTAATGAATTTATGACTTAAATGAAGTGGGCAAATTCCTAGAATAATATAGCAAAAAAGAAAAACCTGGCCAGATGTGGTGGCTCATGCCTGTAATACCAGCACTTTGGGAGGCTGAGGTTGGTGAATCACATGAGATCAGGAGTTCGAGACGAGTCTGGGCAACGTGGTGAAACTCTGTCTCTACTAAAAATACAAAAATTAGCTTCACGTGGTGGCACACGCCTGTAATCCCAACTAGCTGGGAGGCTGAGGCACAAGAATCCCTTGAACCTGGGATGTAGAGTCTGCAGTGAGCCAAGATCATGCCACAGCACTCCAGCCTGGGTAACAGAGCAAGACTGTCTCAAAAAAGAAAAAAAAAAAAAAACCCGACACAAAAAGGGATAGAGTTTTACAATTTCTAAAGAAATTGAATCAGTATTATTAAAAGATTTCTAAACACACAGGACACAAAGTCCATGGTTTTGAAAGTTATTTCCACTAAATTATCAAGAAATAATTTCAATCTTATACAAATTCTTCTGGAGCATTGAAAAAGAGGGAACTCAGAAACTCCCCTAAATATTCAATGAAGGCTATATAACGATAAAAATAAGAAAAGGACAAGAAGAGAAAGACAAATTTCAGGGTAATCTCCTTAATAACCATAGATAATAAATTCCTTTACAATATGTTAGAAAATTGAGTCCAGAAATATATAAAAAGCTAATACAATGTCCAAGTTGAATTTATCACAGAATGCAGTGGTGAATTAACATTAGAATAATCAACAAATGTAACTTATCACATAAGTGAGGAAAATCATGAGGCCTTCTCAGTGACTGCACAAAAAGCATTTAATTGGCCGGGCATGGTGGCTCACGCCTGTAATCCCAGCACTTTGGGAGGCTGAGGCGGGTGGATCACCTGAGGTCAGGAGTTGGAGACCAGCCTGGCCAACCTGGCGAAACCCCATCTCTACTAAAAATACAAAAATTAGCCGGGCATGGTGGCGCACGCCTGTAATGCCAGCTACTCGGGAGGCTGAGGCAGGAGTATCGCTTGGACCTGGGAGGTGGAGGTTGCGGTGAACTGAGATTGTGCCACTGCACTCCAGCCTGGGCAACAGAGTAAGACTCCAGTTCAAAAAAAAAAAAAAAAAAAGTAGGCAAAATATTTAAACAAGTACTTCACAAAAGAAAATATAAGCAAGATAAATAAGTGCAAGAAAAAATCCTAAACATCATTAGTCTTTAGGGAAATAAAGATTAAAACCATGATAGTGTATAACTCATACATATTAGAATGTCTAAAATTAAAAGACTGACCACACCAAGCGTTGGCAAAAAGGTGAAGCAACTGGAACTTTCTCTTTTTAATTTTTAATTTTCATGGATACATATTAGTTTTACATATTTATGGGGTACATGTGATATTTTGATACAAGCGTACACTGTGTAATGACCAAATCAAAGTAATTAGAATATCCATCAACTCAAACATTTAGCATTGCTTTGTGCTGGGAACATTCCAAATCTACTCTTGTAGTTATTTTGAAATATACAATAAATTATTGTTAATGATAGTCGCCCTATTGTGCTACCAAACACTCGATCTTATTCCTACAATCTAACTATATTTTTGCAGCACTAATCACATGCTTTAGTTCCATCACCCATTAACCAGCTCCTTTTTATCCTCCCTGAATGCTATGCTTCCCAGCATCTAGTAGCCATCATTCTACTATCTACCTCCAAGAGATCAATTTTCTTAGCTCCCCCATCAGTGAGAACATGAGACACTTGTCTTTCTGTGCCTGGCTTATTTCACTTAACATAATGTTCTCTAGTTCCAGCCATGTTGTTGCAAGGGACAGGATTTTATTTATTTTTTTATTATTATTTTTTCGAGACAGAGTCTTGCTCTGTTGCCAAGGCTGGAATTCAGTGATGTGATCACAGCTCACTGCAGTCTTGACCTCCCAGGCTCAAGCTATCCTCCTGCCTCACCCTCCCAAAGTATTGGGATTACAGGTGTGAACCACCGTTCCTGGCAATATTATTCTTTTCTATGGCTGAATAATATTCCACTGTGTATCTATACCACATTTTCTTTTTCTTTTCTTTTTTTCTTTTTTCTTTTTTTTTTTTTTGAGATGGAGTCTCACTCTGTCACCCAGGCTGAGTGCAGTGGCATGATCTCAGCTCACTGCAACCTCTGCCTCCCCGGTCCAAGCGAGTCTCCTGCCTCAGCCTCCTCAGTAGCTGGGATTACAGGTGCGTGCCACCACACCAGGCTAATTTTTGTATTTTTAGTAGAGATGAGGTTTCTCCGTGTTGGCCAGGCTGGTCTTGAACTCCTGATCTCAAGTGATCCGCTCGCCTTGGCCCTGAAAAGTGCTGGGATTACGGGCGTGAGCCACTGTGCCTGGCCACCACCTTTCTTTATCCATTTATCCGTTGGTAGACACAGTGGAATTGTTGATTCCATATCTTGGCTATTGTGAACAGTGCTGCAATAAACATGAGAGTGCAGATATATCTCCAGTATGATGATTTCCTTTCTTTTGGGTAGATACCCAACAGTGGGATTGAAACCGTTAACAGGTCTGTTACCTGATGTACCCAGCAAGTTAATACCCTGAGAATGTTAATATTCTCTGGGTTGCAGCAGATAAAGAGGTTTAATTATAGGGTTGCCGAACGAGGAGATGGAAAGAAAGTTCAAATGCATTTCTCTGAGGAGTTTGGGCTAAGGTATTTAAGGGTTCCGGAGTGAGCTGAAGTGTGGAGATCATTGATTGGTCCAGGAGGGAAGGGTGAAGTCATAGGATAGGATGAAGAAACGATTCTCATGTTGATTCTATTCCTCTGTGGGGGTCTTTGAACTGGTGTTTTGGTGGAATTGGGGATCTGAAAAACATCTTGAGCAATTCTTAAACAATAGCCTCATGGTTTTAACATCAGTTCTGTCTCTGCAGGAACAATGGGGATGCAAATAGTCAGACAACGGTGCTACAGGGACTTCCAGTTACAAGGATGTGGACCAAAGTGCAGCCTGATTATAACTCCATTTCTGTCCAGAATTCTTCTTAACCCTGTGAGGATGACTTCAGGACTCCTGGATCATATTGCACTTCTGTATTTAGTTTTTCGAGGAACCTGTTTTCCATAGTGGCTGTACGAGTTTACATTCCCACCAGCAGTGTACCAGTTCTCCGAGACAGGCTTGCCGGCATCGTCAGTTTTGGCTTTTTGATAATAGCCATTTAAACTGGGGTGAGATGATCTCTCATTGTGGTTTTGATTTGTGTTTCTCCGATGATGTTGAGCATTTTTTTCTTTTTCTTTTTTCTTTTTTCTTTTTTTTTTTTTTTTAATAGAGACAGGATTTCACCATGTTGCCCAGGCTGGTCTTGTACTCCTGGGCTCAAGCGATCCTCCTGCCTCAGCCTCCCAAAGTGCTGGGATTACAAGCATGAGCTACTGCACCTGACCTAAATTTTTTTTTAATAGAAATGGGGGGCATTTTTTCATATACCTGATGACCATTTGTATGTCTTCTTTTGAAAAATGTGTAATCAGGTGTACTCCCATTTAAAAACCTGATTCTTTGTATTTTTTCTATTGGGTTGTTTAGATTCCTTATGTATTCTGGTTATTTTAGTCCCTTGTCAGTTGAATAGTTTGCAAATATTTTCTGTTATTCTGTAGGTTGTCTCTCCCCTTTGTTGATTGTTTCCTTTGCTGTGCAGAAGTGTTTTAGCTTCACTTGATCCAATTTACCCATTTTTGCTTTGATTGCCGTGATTTTGAGGTGTTACTCAAGAAATCTTTGTCCAGACCAATGTCCTGAAGCATTTCCTCAATGTCTTTTCCTAGTAGTTTTATAGTTTCAGGTCTTACATTTAAATCATTAATCGATTTTGATTTAATTTTTGTATATGGCGAGACATAGGGGTCTAGTTTTGTTCTTGTGCATATGGATATCTGGTTTACCAGGCACCATTTGTTGAAAAGACTGTCCTTTCTCCAATGTATGTTCCTGGCACCTTTGTTGAAAATGAGTTGATTGTAAATGCATGGATTTATTGGAATTTTGTACTCTGCTGGTGGGGAATGTGAGGTGGAAGAACCACTTCAGAAAACTCTTTGCCAGTTTCTTTTTTTTTCTTTCTTTCTTTTCTGCTTTCTTCTTTCTTTTTCTTTTCTTTTTTTTTTTTTTTTTTTTTTTGGAGAAAGGGTCTTGCTCTGCAACCCAGGCTGGAGTACAGTGACATGATCTTGGCTCACTGCAGCCTCAACCTCCCAGGCTCAAGCGATCCTCCCACCTCAGCCTCTCAAGTAGCTGGGACTACAGGCACACATCATGACGTCTGGTTAATTTTTTGTATTTTTTGTAGGGACAGGATTTCACCATTTTGTCCAGGCTGCTTTCGAACTCCTGAGCTCAAGCAATCCACCTGCCTTGGCCTCCTAAAGTGTTGAGATTACAGGTGTGAGCCACTGCCCTGGCCTGTTTGTCAGTTTCTTAAACACACACTTTGTATATCACCCATACATTTCACTGCTAGGTATTTACTGAAGACAAACGAAAGCACATTGTCATACAAAGACTTGCTGGTGCTGGATGTTAATCATGGGGGAGGCTGTTCATGCTGCGGGCACGAAGGTACCTAGGAAATCTCTGCACCTTCCACTCAATTTTCCTGTAAAACTAAAACTACTCTAAAAAATTAAGTCTTATTTTTTTTTTTTTTTTGAGATGGAGTCTTGCTCTGTGGCCCAGGCTGGAGTGCAATGGCTTGATCTCAGCTCACTGTAACCTCTGCCTCCTGGGTTCAAGTGATTCTCCTGCCTCAGCCTTCTGAGTAGCTGGGATTACGGGTACATGCCACCATGCCCAGCTGATTTTTGTAGTTTTAGTAGAGACAAAGTTTTACCATGTTGGCCAGGCTGGTCTTGAACTTGTGACCTTGTGATCTGCCCACTTCAGCCTCCCAAAGTGCTGGGATTACAGGCATGAGCCACCACAGCCAGCCATAATTTTTTTTTTTTTTTTTTTTAAATTAGAACTAGGCTGAGCGTGGTGGCTCACACCTCTAATATCAGTATTTTTGGGAGGCCGAGGAGGGTGGATCACTTTATCCCAGGAGTTCGAGATCATCCTGGGCAACATGGTGAAACCGCATCTCTATGAAATATACAAAATTAGTCGGGTATGGTGGCATGCAACTGTAGTCCCAGCTACTTGAGAGGCTGATGGGGGAGGATCAGTTCAACCCAGGAGGTGGAAAGTGCAGTGAGCCCGGATTGAGCCACTGCACTCCAGCCTAGGTGAAAGAGTGAGATCCTCACCCTCAGGTACTGCTTTATAGCAATGCAAAACAGATGAATGCACCTTCCTATAAAGAAAACACTTGGCCCATTTACTTTTACTGGTGAGTTTTCCAACATTTTAAGAAAAAGGTAACAACGGTGTTATACAAAACTCTTTAAGGAAATAGAAAAAGAGGAAATACTTTTCCAACCCATTTTATGAGACCCATTTGTCCCTGACACCAAACCCTGACGTGGACATTGTAAGAAAGAAAGATTGTACTGTAGTCCAATCTTTCATGGCTTGGACGTGAAATGCTAATAAAAAGTTAGCCAGTAAATTACAGCAATATATAAAAATGTGGCTGGGCGCGGTGGCTCACACCTGTAATCCCAGCACTTTGGGAAGCCAAGGCAGGTAGATGACCTGAGGTCAGGAGTTTGAGATCAGCCTGGTGAAACCCTGTCTCTACTAAAAATACAAAAATTAGCCGGGTGTGGTGGCACGTACCTGTGATCCCAGCTACTTGGGAGGCTGAGGCAGGAGAATTGCTTAAATCTGAGAGGTGGAGGTTGCAGTGAGCTGAGATCACGCGACTGCACTCCAGCCTGGTTGACGGAGCGAGACTCTGTCTCAAAAAAGAAAAAAAAAAGTGAACACCTCACAACCAAGTTGCCTTTATATTAGGAAAACAGCCCATCATCTGTGTGCAAAAAAGCTTCTGCACACCCCTGATCTCAGCCTGTGGCCTCTTCTTTTCCCTCCCTCACTTCTTGGTGGTCTTAATGGCTTGGAATAACCCATAAGACCACCAAGACTCATGACTTGGAACACCACCTATGTGTTGATGACTCCCAAATTTGTAGCTTCAATCCTAACATTTTCCTAACTGTACACATCCAGGCGCCCATCCACCCTTTCCCCTTGGATGTCTTACAGGCATCTCCTAACTCCTGTCGAAACTATACTCTGAGACCCTCCCAAACAATCTGTATGTAACCCATGAGACTTTCATAGCTCAGTTCCCTTCATTGAGCTCCTAGGCACCAAACATGGAACAATTTTGACACCACCTCCCTTTATATAATTCATTTATTACCCTCTCACTTCCATTTCAAATTATGCCCAGAATCTGACTACCTCTCACCGCCTCTTCTCACTGCCAGATAGCATATTTTTATTATGTATCTGCTAGCATGTAAGCTTCATGAAGGCAGGAGCTTTATGTCTTTCATTACTGCTAAATTCCAGTGCCCAGAACAGGGCCTGACACATAGTAGGAACCCCGTCAATGTAATTTTTTTAAATGAGACAGGGTCTCACTCTCTCAGGCTGGAGTGCAGAGTCGTGATCACGGCTCATTGCAGCCTTGACCTCCCCAGGCTCAAGCAATCCTCTCATCTCAGCCTCCCAAGCAGTTAGAACTACAGACATGTGCCACCACCCCAGCTAATTTTTTGGTGTGTTTTGTAGAAACAGGGTTTGCTATGTTGCCCAGGCTGCTCATGAACTCCTGGAGTCAAGTGATCCACCCACCCGGTCTCCCAAAGTGCTGGGATTACAGGCGTGAGCCACCATACCCAGCCCCCTTCAATATTTTTACAAATAATGACCTATAGTGTTTTTAAATACATCACACATCTTAAAAGATTGATACCATCTCCTTTGTAAGGATGTTGAGCCACAGGTGCACATTCATAAACTGTGTGTGAGTGTAAATTGTTACAGCTTTTTAAAAAATAGACTTTATGCCGGGCATGGTGGCTCATGCCTGTAATCCCAGCACTTTGGGAGGCCGAGGTGGGTGGATCACGAGGTCACGAGTTCAAGACCAGCCTGGCCAACATGGTGAAACCCCGTCTCTACTAAAAATACAAAAATTAGCCGGGCATGCTGGCTCACACCTGTAATCCCAGCTACTCAGGAAGCTGAGGCAGGAGAATTGCTTGAACCAGGGAGGTGAAGGTTGCAGTGAGCTGAGTTCGAGCCATTGTACTCCAGCCTGGGCAACAGGGCAAGACTCAGATTCAAAAAAAAAAAAAAAAAAAAGACTTTATTTTTTAGAGTAGTTTTAGTTTTACAGCAAAATTGAGTGGAAGGTGCAGAGATTTCCCAGGTATCCCTGTGCCTGCAACATGCACAGCCTCCCCCATGATCAACATCCTGCACCAGTGTCGTGCATTTGCTACAATCAGTAAACATGACACATCATTGTCACTCAGAGTCCAAGTTTACAGCAGGCTCACTCATGGCCTTCTACGCTCTGTGGGTTTGAACAAATGTACAATGACATCTATCCACCATGTTAGTGGCATGCAGAGTACTTTCACTGCCCTAAAAATGTTTTGTACTCCACCTATTTATCCTCCCTCAGTGTGACAGCCTTTTTAGAGGTCAACTTGAGGGTATCTATTGAAATTTTAAAGATGTGTATCTTTTGACCCAGAAATTTTATTTCTTGTAATCCATTGGAGAAAACACTTGCATTGTACACAAAGAATAAATATGAATATGTTCTCTGCAACATCTAAATAGTGAAAAATGAAAACTCCTTGAATGCCCCTGAGTAAGGAGATTGTTGCTGAACAAAGTGTGGTCCTTCTTTGCATGGAATATCACACAGCAGTAAAAAGAAAGAGCTCGTTCTTGTGCTGACAAGGAAAGAGAAAGTCATACTTTTAAGAGGGAAATTTAAGTGGCATAGTCATATGTACAGTGTGTTCTATCAGTTAAAGTATATGTATATAATTTCTATACATGCTTGTGAGTGCATAGATGGAAAAATTCTGAAAGGTTAAATATCAGACTCATAGTTACTATTTCTGGGGGATGAGATGAAGGGAGATACAAGGCAAATTGTGTTTATTCTGTATTGATTTGGATTTCTTAATTTCTCTCTCCCCCCCCTTCTCTCTCTTCCTCCTTTATTTCTCTTTCTTTCTTTCTTCCTTCCTTCTTTCCTTCCTCCCCTCCGTCCTTCCCTCCTTTCTTTCTCTCTCTCTTTCTTTCTTTCTTCTTTTTCTTCTTTCTTTTTTTCTTCTTTTCTTCTTTTTTTTTTGTGGAGACAGGGTCTCACTGTGTTGCCCAGGCTGGAGTGCAGTGGTGCTATCATAGCTCACTGCAGCCTAGAACTCCTGGACTCAGGTGATTCTCCCACCTATAGGAAGTATAGGCATGCACCTGGAACTACAGGCATATGCACCACTACGCCCAGCTAATTTTTTTTTATTTTTGTAGAGACAGGGTCTCACTCTGTTGCCCAGACTGGTCTTGAATTCCTGAGCTCAAGTGATCCTCCCACCTTGGCCTCCCAAAGTGCTGGGATTACAGGTGTGAGCCACCACACCCAGCCTGGACTTCTTTTAAATGAGAATATACCTATTCATTTCCTGTGTATTAAAAATAAGTTGAAAAAGGCAGGAAAACAAATGAACAGACAAAAAGTTGGTATCACTAGCATTGTTATTTAGAAGGGGTCAGCAGAGGGTGCTGAATATTGAGTCATATCTAAATGATGACCTGCTTACGTTCAAGAGCAGCTAGAAATCCACACTTAGGTTAGTTAGAATAGTCCTGATAGCTCAGTGGAAACCTGACCTCTGTGAAGCAGATTAGTATTCTTTATTGCCAGAGGCAGTGGATATAATAACCATGTTATCTATAGCTAACAGTTCCTGTGTGGTTTACAGGTAATGTATATTTCAACAAGCATCATGCAAATGAGTTAATGCTAAAATGAGCCCACTCCTTCATTCTTTAGGAATATGAGCAAAATTAAGAATGGTTCTTGGATCTGTTTACTGAACGTCTTGATTCTCTAAAACAATCCTCAGCCAGTCACAGTGGCTCATGCCTGTAATCTCAGCACTTTGGGAGGCTGAGGCAGGAGGATCGCTTGAACTCAGGAGATCGAGACCAGCCTGGGCAACATAGCAAGACCTTGTCTCTACTAAAAATAAAATTAAAAAAAATTAGCTAGGCATGGTGGTGCTCCTGTAGTCTCAGCTACTTGAGGGGCTGTGGTGTGAGGATCTCTTGAGCCCAGGAGGTAGAGACTGCAGTGAGCCAAGATTGTGCCACTGCATTGCAGGATGGGCAACAGAGCAAGACTGTCTCAAAAATAAGTAAATACATGGCTGGGCATGGTGGCTCACACCTGTAATCCCAGCACTTTGGGAGGCTGAGGTGGGCGGATCACCTGAGGTCAGGAGTTCCAGACCAGCCTGGCCAACATGGTGAACCCCATCTCTACTAAAAATACAAAAAAGTAGATGGGCATGGTGGCACGTGCCTGTAATCCCAGCTACTCAGGAGGCTGAGGCAGGAGAATCGCTTGAACCCAGGAGGCAGAGGTTGCAATGAGCTGAGATTGTGCCACTGCACTCCAGCCTGGGTGACAGAGCAAGACTCCATTTCAAAAATAATTAAATAAATACATAAATAATAAAATGATCTTAGAAAAGAGTGGCTAATAGTGAAAACAGTCAATATCCAAATTAGTCTGTTCAGGGTATTTAAAGTGTTTAAAGACACCTGGAACAGGGGAGTAACTCAAACCGCGCAAAGATGTTGTGAGAATGTAGCCATTGTCCGCTGATTAACAATCAAGACTTAGGAAGCAGCAGGTGAGACAGTCTAAGCCCACCTGTAAAGAAGATTGGTGTGCTTTGAAAATGATCCCTTTAGCTGTCCAGTAACACTAACTGATCGCCTGATTGAAAACCTAAACTTCTCTGAGAATAGAAAACAACAGAATTTTTACTGCGGGTTTTTCTCACAACCACCCCGAGGAATTTCTGATTTGCAAAACTGGAGAGTTGAGCTCTGAAATGGGGATGTACTGAAATGAAGTTATCACTTTCCAGTGAGACTGAGCTTTTTACTTTCCTAGTCACAAGCCTTTGAATGTACTAAAAAGCCCGGGCGCGGTGGCTCACACCTGTAATCCCAGCACTTTGGGAGACTGAGGTGGGTGGATCACCCGGGAGGCAGAGGTTGGAGTTCCTGAGGTCAGGAGTTCCAGACCAGCCTAACCAATATGGTGAAACCCCATCTCTACTAAAATACAAAAATTAGCGGGCATGGTGGTGCACGCCTATAATCCCAGCTACTCAGGAGGCTGAGGCGGGAGAATCGCTTGAACCTGGGAGGCGGAGGTTGCAGTGAGCCGAGATCATGCCACTGCACTCCAGCCTGGGCAACAGAGTGAGGGCAACAGCCTGGGCAACAGAGTAGGCAACAGATATGACTCAATATTCAGCACCCTCTGCCGACCCCTTCTAAGTAACAATGCTATTGATACCAACAGAAAGAAAGTGCTTAAAAAAAAATTTAAGGTGATTTTGGGGAGGACAATTGCAATATGAAATGAAAAATCAGCACAAATCCTAAGGTATGTGGCTTTTGGGGTTTTATTTGAGGAGTTTTTTCCTGGACTCAACTGTTGAGATTGGGAGGGCATGACCATGTCAAGGGTCTGGCGTGTGCTGAGTGCTTTCACGTAACTCTTCTGACATAATTTCTCCAGCATCCTAGGAGGATGGGTGGGTGGTATCTGCATTTTACAGAGAAATAAATCCCGTGTCGTGAGTCTGGGTTAGCCACCTGAGGTCACATGCAGGCAGGATCAGAATTTGAAACCAGGTCTGCTTGATTCCCACAGCAGCTGGGGGTTCCGAGACCCCATGCTGTCCTTCCTGGGTGGCCACTCCTGTAGCCTCTGTGTACGCATTCCCGAATTTTTCTGTTTCATGGTTTTTCCTGTTCAGATAAAGTTTGTTGAGGGCAGGAAGTTGGTTTTATTCATGTTTGAATACTCAGTGTCCTACTGAAACTATCTCAAAATAACTTTTTATTTTTATCTCAACCAATTGCTAAAATAAATTCTGATTCCTCATAGCAAGGATGAAACCACTTAAAGTTCCAAGAGAGACATTAGAAGCAGGAGAATTTCAGGAGAGACATAGTAAAGAAAAATATATTAAGAGAATGGACCTCACGGGTTTGAGTGTTCTAGGAATCAATTCTTGAGTCAATTGGCACCTTGTGATGAAGGGAAGATAAATACTTAGAAAAATAAGCAAATTATTAACCTAGAGGAAATAAAGTTTCATGAGAAAATAAATGCAATCATAGTATAGTATAAATGGCTCACTGGGTAATATTTACACAGCTGTAATCATGAATGTTGAATACTGAGTATTGATCTCACCGAAACTTGTGATAGAGCTTTATTGGGGAGATATGTGTGCAGCACAGGAGAGGAAAATTCCAGTCTTCTAGGGCAGACAGTCAATGGAAAAGTCAAGAAAGAGCAGTATAAGCATATTGTTTAAAAATATGGAGTTGGCCGGGCTGGTGGCTCACACCTGTAATTCCAGCACTTTAGGAGGCCGAGGCAGGAGGATCACGAGGTCAGGAGATCGAGACCATCCTGGCTAACACGGTGAAACCCCGTCTCTACTAAAAATACAAAAAATTAGCCGGGCGTGGTGGCGGGCACCTGTAGTCCCAGCTACTCTGGAGGCTGAGGCAGGAGAATGGCGTGAACCCGGGAGGTGGAGCTTGCAGTGAGCCGAGATTGTGCCACTGCACTCCAGCCTGGGCAACAGAGCGAGACTCCAACTTGAAAAAAAAAAAATGGAGTTAAGGCCGGGCGCGGTGGCTCATGACTGTAATCCTAGCACTTTGGGAGGCCAAGGCAGGTGGATCACAAGATCAGGAGTTCGAGAGCAGCCTGACCAACATGGTGAAACCCCGTCTCTACTAAAAATACAAAAATTAGCCAGCTGTGGTGGCGGGCGCCTGTAATCCCAGCTACTCAGGTGGCTGAGGCAGGAGAATTGCTTGAAGAGAGGCAGAGGTTGCAGTAAGCTGAGATCACACCAATGCACTCCAGCCTGGGCAACAGAGCGAGACTCCGACTCAAAAATAAAATAAAATAAAATAAAAATAATGATAATAATAAAATA
Organism: Homo sapiens; assembly: GCF_000001405.40. Classification (NCBI taxonomy): domain Eukaryota; kingdom Metazoa; phylum Chordata; class Mammalia; order Primates; family Hominidae; genus Homo; species Homo sapiens. The sequence goes on along the minus strand of NC_000010.11, from coordinate 86,414,532 downwards.
AAAATATGGAGTTAAATCAACTGGCAGAAAAAAAGCAGGTGCCAGGGCTGGAAGTGGGTGCTTCCCAGGAACAGAGCTCAATGGGGAACTGCAGAGCTAGGGGACCATTATTTTTAATTGTAAGCATTTTCACTGTAAAACGTTTGATTTTTAAAGATAAGCACACTTATTACTTCGATAGAGATAAAACTCAAGCCATAAAAGGAAAGTGAGGGGCCAGGCACAGTGGCTTGTGTCTAAAATCCCAGAGGCTAGGGTGGCTGAGGCAGGAGGAGCACTTGAGGCTAAGAGTTTGAGACAAACCTGGGTAGGATAGCAAGACCCTGTCTCTTCAAAAAATAATTTAAAAAAGATTTAATCAGGCATGGTGGCATGATCCTGTAGTCCCAACTTCTTTGGAGGCTGAGGAAGGAGGACTGCTCGAGCCCAGGAGGTTGAGGTTGCAGTGAGCCATGACTGTGCCACTGCACTCCAGCCTGGGTGACAGAACGAGACCCCAGCTCCTTTTTTTTTTTTTTTTGAGACGGGGTCTCGCTGCGATGCCCAGGCTGGAGTGCAATGGCGCCATCTTGGCTCACTGCAACCTCCGCCTCCTGGGATCAAGCGATTCTCCTGCCTCAGCCTCCCGAGTAGCTGGGATTACAGGCACACGTCACCATGCCCGGCTAATTTTTGTATTTTTAGTAGAAACAGGGTTTCACCATGTTGGCCAGGCTGGGCTCAAACTCCTGACCTTGGGTGATCCGCCCACCTCGGCCTCCCAAAATGCTGGGATTACAGGTGTGAGCCACTGCACCCGGCGGAGACCCCAACTCTTAAAAAAAAAAAAGAAAAAAATAAAGTGAGTGGCAGCTGGGACTGGCTTTGGGGTGGAAACCACATCCTGAGTTGAACCTTTAGACCATGGAGAAGTTTCTGAGGCACTTAAGCACGAATTTTTGCATGATTGGTCATGTGATGCATCACATAATTTTTGGTAACTAAACTGAAATAATAAAAAGTAAATTTGCAGGGTTTCAGTACTATAGTTGTCAGTACTGTACTTACATAGCACCCCATGGAAAATAAAACAAGACAAACCAAATATTACATAAGCACATATTGCTACTCTAACTTCTTCTGTTTTATGTTACTGTCATCCAAGGAGAAAATTTAAGCATAGCTTTCATAAAAATAGCTCGCCTGCACTGAACATGCGCTGTATATATGCCAGAGTCTGCAGAAACCACATCCTGCATTTAACCTTTGGATCACTGAACAGTTTCTGAAATGGTAAGCATGAATTACTGCACAATCCACCATGTCCAGACAGAAATAGTTAAAGTGGACTAATATTAAATATAGCATTTATTTTTAGGGTTGTAAGAGTGACGCAGAGAACCCATACACAAGAGAAACTAAAATGGAGTAAAGCAAACCATCTTACTTCAGCACCTGTTACTGTTCCAACGACTGCCTGATCACACCTCTCCAGCCCCGGATGATGTTCTGAGGAATGTTTTTAATTTTAATTGTGAACATTTACTGAGCACTTAGAATGTGCCTGGCAGTCTTCAATTATTTATTTATTTATTTAGAGACGGAGTCTGGCTTTGTCGCCCAGGCTGGAGTGCAGTGGTGTGATCTTGGTTCACTGCAGCCTCTGCTTCCCGGGTTCAAGCAATTCTCATGTTTCAGCCTCTTGAGTAGAGTAGCTGGGATTACAGGTGCCCACAACTATGCCTGGCTAATTTTTGTATTTCTAGTAGAGACGGGGTTTCTCCATGTTGGTCAGGCTGGTCTCGAACTCCAGACCTCAAGTGATCTGCCTGCCTCTGCCTCCCAAAGTGCTGGGATTACAGTTTGTGAGCCACCGTGCCTGGACTGTCTTCAATTTTTAGATACTTACAGAAGAGTTTATGTTTCAATTTTGGGTTTCCAGGTCTATGCATCAAGAGTTCATAATGTGTGAACAGACAAACTCTTACCTAATTTTCAAGGCAGTGTGAAGTTTGTAAAGAAACAACAGGTTTACTCTGGACACTGCCTGGAAGTGTATGAATTGTTTATAGCGGAGCATGTAGGTGTCTCATACACAGCAAATTAACATGATGGCATTTTAATCAAATCTTCTTCTATCTGGTCAAATGATGAGTACGGTGATATAATGTACTAAGGGTGAGCCACAGGTGTATACAGCTTGGCATGGGGAAAAAAAAGAACAACCAACCTCTTTACAAGGAACAGTGCCAGGTGCAGACAGCCCACAAAGGCCTGATTTCCTTTTTTTTTTTTTTTTAAGACAGAGTCTTGCTCTGTCACCCAGGCTGGGGTGCAGTGGTGTGATCATAGCTCACTGCAGCCTCAACATCCCTGGGCTCAAGCAATCCTCCTACCTCAGCCTCCTGAGTAGCTGAAATTACACGCATGCACCACCACGCCTGACTAACATTTTACTTTTTGTAGAGATGGGGTCTCACTATGTTGCCCAGGCTGATCTTGAACTCCTGGGCTCAAGTGATCCTCCTGCTTTGGTCTCCCAAAGTGTTGGGATTACAGGTGTGAGCCACGATGCCCGGCCAGGCCTGGTTTCATGACAGCTGATGAAGTGGATGGACAGGGCCAACTTTCTGCAGGGCTGGGTTGCACCATGCTCCAAGTGGGAGCCAATGTCTACTGAATACCTACTAGGTGGTTTATGTGCCCTGTCTCATTCATTGTCACTCCTCTTTTACAGCTGTGGGAACTGTGGCCTACAAGTTCCCAAGGATCACAGCTAGCAGATAAGGGCCCAGTCCATGCTTTACCTCAATTCTTCTAGTCTGGACTGTAACAGCAATGCTCCCTGCATCTGTGAGCTCACAGCTCTGAAGTGCACAGAATTTCCTGTCTGAGCACTGTGGGTGTTTCCTGAAATAATCTGCTGGGTCAGAGGCTGATGCATGCTGTCTGTGCAGTCTTTGACATTTATTTCTGTTTTGCTCCACCTCCGTTTGCACGGAGGCTTTGGATTTATGAAGATTTAGCCGGAATGGGAAATCCAGGAAGAAGCCGGGTGGAGTGGGAAAGTGTCAAGAGAAGCGACTGATTTATTTATCTAACCTGGGGTTACCCAAGATAGGGTTTTTTTTTCTCTTTCTTAACAATGACAATAAAATATTTTTAGCCCAGCTTTAGTCTCTTAGACTGCACACAATCCCCGTGCATTTCCTGAAGCCTGGTTCTTAGAAACACAGAGGACTCCTCACGCTGGTGTGGAACTCAGCATCCTGGTTTTAGTACCTGTTTATGTTTGTTATAGGGACAGTGGTAGCCACTATCTGAAAGTTTTACAAGAGCTCAATGGGAAAGGAGAGGATGTGTTCAGGCAATTCTTAACGAGCTGTTGAGAAGAGGGCAGAGAGTCAGAGAGAATTGGTAGATAACAGCTATTTCAAGGCCCACACAGGGAGGGAGGTGTGTTGGATCCTCCAGCCCTAGTTGAACCACCCGAGGACACCATGTGGAGAAGGATAAGCTATGCCCACTGAGCTCTGCCAAACTCCACAGAATCATGAGTAACAAATGCTGTTTTGACCAACCAAGTTTGGGTGTACTTTGTTACACAGCTATAGCTGACTGAGACAGATACTTATTAGGAAGAACCAAAATGAAGGGTTCACAGATTCACAGGCCATGGTCAGATTCAAGTCAGCTAAACTCATGAGATGGAAAAGGTCCACAGAAGAAAGGGCGAGAGGCTAAGGCAGGAGCAGAGATAAACTGAGTCAACATGAAGGGGAAGATAAAGCCAGTTCTGTTTCCGAGTCATCAGTCAGATGGCCTGATCCTTAGAGGAGAAGTTGGCATGATGTCTGCATGTGGCCGAAGTTCAAATAGTGTTTGTGGAATAAACAAATGAATTCATGAGGCAGTCAGCTTTTCTGTTCTACTTATCTTCATTCCTTCAGCAAAATACATTCCTCTCAACTGTGTCACCTGGTTTCTTATTTATCCTGTGAGCCATTTTTTTTTTTTTTTTGAAATGGAGTTTTGCTCTTGTTGCCCAGGCTGGAGTGCAGTGGCATTATCTCACCTCACTGCAACCTTCGCCTCCCGGCTTCAAGCAATTCTCCTGCCTTAGCCTCCCGAGTAGCTGAGATTACAGACATGTGCCGCCACGTCTGGCTAATTTTTTATTTTTAGTAGAGACGGGGTTTCACCATATTGTCCAGGTTGGTCTTGAACTCCTGACCTCAAGTGATCCACCCTCCTCGGCCTCCCAAAGTGCTGGGATTACAGGTGTGAGCCACTGCGCCCGGCCCTGTGAGTCATTTTATGCTCCTAATAATAGTGTCTTTGCTATATTTGTTCACTGTGATTCAAGTGGCTTTCCTTAGGCCAAATGTCAAGAAGTCCAAAATTCTTATACAGGGAATGCTGGGGAGGGGAAATTGGCTTGAAAGAGAGAACTAGTGGACTTAAAAAAAAAACAAAACACTATATAGTAGAATATGCAAATCTTAAATGTACAACTCAATAAAAATTTTCATATATATACACAATGTAACCACCACTCAGATCAATATCTAGAACATTTTCCATCATCCCAGAAGTTTCCCTCTTGTTTCTTCTCAGGCAAGACCTTTCCCCACTAAAAGGCAACCACTATTACAACTTCTACCATCATCGATTAATTCACCTGCTCTAGAACATCATATATATAGAACCATACAGCATGTATGTGTCTGACTTCTTTTGATCTACATAATGTTGGAGATTCATGCATGTCACTGTATCAGTAGTTTCTTCTTTTTAATTGTATAATAAATATACCACAATTTATTTACCTTGTTGGTAAACATTTAGTTTCTTTCCAATTTGGGGCTATTCTGAATAAAGCTATCATGAAGAGTTTCGTGTATGTCTTTTATAGATATATGTTCTAGATTGTTTCTAGTATGGGGCTATATGAATAAAGCTTTCATGAACAGTTGCATGCATGTCTTTTATAGCTATATGCACTAATTTCTTTTGGGTAAATAGGAGTGAAATTCTGGGTCATGGAGTTGGGCATATGTTTAACTTCAGTGGATATTGTCCAACTGTTTTCTGAAATAGAAACATGGATTACTCTCCCTCTGACAATTAATGATAATTTCCACCTGCTCCATAGCCTTGCTAGCACTTAATATTGTCAGACTTTTACATTTCAGCCGTCCTGTCTGGTATGTGGTGGCATCTCACTGTGGTTTTCATGTATATTTCTCCCATGAGTGATGAGGTTGAACACTTTTTCATGCACTTATTGGTCATTTGGATATCTTCTTTATGAAGTGTTTGTTCAAGCCATTTGCCTATTTTCTAATTGAGTTGTTTTTTAATTGCTATATAGGTGTTTTAAAATATATTTTGCATATGAATATTTTGTCAGATATGTGTGTTGACAACATGTTCTCCCAGTCACTGGCTTGCCTAATAATGATGTTTTTTGCTTAATGTAAGTACTTAATTTTAACGAATCAAGATTTACCTTTAAAAAAAAAATAGGCCGGGCGCGGTGGCTCACACCTGTAATCTTAGCACTTTGGGAGGCTGAGGTGGGTGGATCACCTGAGGTCAGGAGTTCAAGACCAGCCTGGCCAACATGGTGAAACCCGTCTCTACTAAAAATACGAAAATTAGCCAGGTGTAGTGGCATGTGTCTGTAATCCCAGCTACCTGGGAGACTGAGGCAAGAGACTTGCTGGAACCTGGGAGACAGAGGCTGCAGTGAGCCGAGCTGAGATCACACCACTGCACTCCAGCCTGGGTGACAAGAGTGAGTGAGACTCTGCCTCAAAAAAACAAACAAAAAACATTATAACTTACATATAACATATAACATATAACATATGTAAGTTATAATGATAATATAGTGAACATGGCAAGCCTGCCCCAAACTTCAGCTCTTGAATGTGACCATTTGGAGCAGCATGCCTCTCCCTTATGCCAACCCCTGCCTCCCTCTCTACTCTTCAGAGGTAACGACTATCTTAAATTTTGTGTTTATCATTTTCATGCTTTTAAAAATAGTGTTAGCTAACATGACTATATCTCTGCAATAGTCTAAATGTGTCTCCCAAAATATGTGAGGTGGGGCCTAATGGGAGGTGTTTAGGTCATTCGGCCTCTGACCTCACGATTGGATTAATGCTGCTATAAAAAGGGCTAGCATGCCAGGTTCTGTGGCTTATGACTGTAATCCCAGCACTTTGGGAGACTGAGGGGGGTGGATCACCTGAGGTCAGGAGTTCCATACCAGCCTGACCATTATGGTGAAACCCTGTCTCTAATAAAAATACAAAAATTAGCTGGGCGTGGTGGTGTGCGCCTGTAGTCCCAGCTACTTGGGAGGCTGAGACAAGAGAATCACTTGAACCTGGGAGGTGGATGTTGCAGTGAGCCAAGATTGCACCACTGCATGCCAGCCTGGGTGACACAGGAAGACTCCATCTCAAAAAAAAAAAAAAAAAGAAAAAGAAAAAAGGGCTAGCAGGAGTGGGTTTGTCCTTTTCCACCTTCTGCCATGTGAGGATGCAGCGTCCCTCCTCTCTGGAAGACACAGCAAGGTGCCATCTTGGAGCCAGAGACCAAACCAGCTGGTGCCTTGATCTTGGATTTCCCAGCCTCTAAAACTGTGAGAAATAAGTTCTTGTTCTTTATAAATAATCCAGCCTCAGATATTCTGTTACAGCAGCACAAAATGGACTAACATGATCTGTAAACAACATGTTGCTCGGTTTTGCCTGTTTTTGAGATGCATAAAAATAGTACCTTATAATGTGCTATCTTCTTAAGGATTTCTTTTTCTTCCTCACTCACTTTTATGTTTCTGAGATTTATCTTTATTGCAACATGTAGCTGTAGGTCATCCATCTCCACAGCTGGATAATATTTCATTACATGAAATTTCTACAGTTTATCTATGCAGTAGACCATCCATGGAAATATGGAATGTTCTCAGAATTTTTTTTTAATTATTATTATTATTTTTTGAGACAGAGTCTTACTCTGTTGCCCAGGCTGGGGTGCAGTTGTATGATCTCCCCTTACTGCCACCTCCGCATCCCAGGTTCAAGCGATTCTTATGCCTCAGCCTTCCGAGTAGCTGGGACTACAGGCGTGCACCACCATGCCTGGCTAATTTTTGCGTTTTTAGTAGAGATGGGGTTTTATCATATTGGCCAGGCTGGTCTCAAACTCCTGACCTCAAGTGATCCGCCCACCTCGGCCTCCCAAAGTGCTGGGATTACAGGTGTGAGCCACTGTGCCTGGCCCTCCGAAGATTTTTAATTTCAAAGAATTCTGTTATGATCTATTTTGTAAATATCTCCTCATGCATATGTACAAGAGTTTCTCTAGATAGATACCTAAGAGTGAAATATCTGGCTATAGGATGTGTGCATATTCAGTTTAAAATACTGTCAACTTGTTTTCCAAAGTGACTGTGCCAATTTATACTCCTATGTGTAGCTAAAGGCGTCCCTACTGCTCTATCTTTCCACCAACACTTTGAACAATCAGATTTGAAATCTTTTGCCAATTTGGTAGACATAAATTAGCATCTCAAGTGTCATCTTTATTTCCATTTTCCTGATTACTGATGAGGTTGAGCATATTTACAGACCACTGGTCTTTTGTCCATTTTTCTATTGAGTTGTTTATCTTTTTCTTATTGATTTTTTTTTTTTTTTTTTTAGACAGAGTCTCACTCTGTTGCCCAGGCTGGAATGCAATAGTATGATCTTGGCTTACTGCAACTTCTGTCTCCCGGGTTCAAGAGATTCTCGTGTCTCAGCCTTCTGGGTAGCTGGGGCTACAGGCACTTGACACCATGCCCGGCTAATTTTTGTATTTTTAGTAGAGACGGGGTTTCTCCATGTTGGCCAGGCTGGTCTTGAACTCCTGACCTCAAGTGATCTGCCTGCCTCGGCTTCCCAAAGTCCTGGGGTTACAGGCATGAGCCACCATGCCCAGCCTCTTATTGATTTTTATACTTACGTATTCTGAATATGATTTCCTTGTTGATTATAATGTTGTGAATATATTCTTCCAGTTTGTGGCTTGACTTTACACTTTCTGTACAGTGTCTTTTATGAAATAGAGCTTCTAAATTTTAATGCAGTTGCATTTATTAATCTTTTCTTTTCTTCTTATTCTTTTTTTGTTTTAAAATGACGATGAAATGTGCCTTCATGTTCTGGAAGGTTTTTTTTTTTTTTTTTTTTTTTTTTCCCCAGGCTAAAGTGCAGTGCCGTGATCTCGGCTTACTGCAACCTCTGTTTCCCAGGCTCAAGCAATCCTCCCACCTTAGCCTCCTGAGTAGTTGGAACTACCAGTGTGCAGGTGTGCATCAACATGCCTGGCTAATGTTTTTGTGTTTTTGTTCAGATGAGGTTTCGCCATGTTGCCCAGGCTGATCATGAATTCCAGGGCTCAAGTGATCCACCTGCCTCGGCCTCTCAAAGTGCTAGGATTATAGGTGTGAGCCATCGTACCCGGCCCAATCTTTTATGATTCCAATTTTTAATATATTATTTAATAAATCCTTCTCTACCGAAGTTGTTAAAACATTCTCCTACATTAGTTTCAAAAACTATTAAACTTTGATTTTCACATTTAAGTGATCTTTTTGAAATTATTTTTTGTATTAAAAATATAAATTTTGTGTTTTTTCCATATGAACAACCAATTGTCCCAGCACCATTTCTGTCCTTTCCCTGTTGGTCTTTGTGGTAGGCTGAACAATGGCTCTCCATAGATGTCCACATACTAATCTCTGTAACTGTGAATGTGTTACTTTTTAAGGAGAAAAGGAATCTGCAGGTATGATTAAGTTAAGGATCTTGAGAAGGGGAGATTATCTTGGATTACGTAGTGATCCCAGTATAATCAGAAGGTCCTCATTGGAGGGAGGCAGAGAAGTTAGAATCAGAGAAATGTAAAGACAGAAGTAGCTCAGGGGTTGAAGTGATGCACGTTAAAAATGGAGGAAGGGGTCACAAGCCAAGGAATGTAGGCTGGCTCTAGAAGCTGAAAAAGAATTCTTCCTTTGAACCTCCAAAAGGAACACAGCCCTGCAGACACATTAGAATTCTGGCCCCCAGAACTGCCTGATAATAAATGTGTATTGCTTTAAGTAACTAAATTGGTGGTAATTTGTTGCAGTAGCAATAGGGAACTAATAAAGTATTCAAAATCACCTTTGTTGGATGTCAAGTTTTCATATTTTTCTGAGGCTGCTTCTAGGTTCTCTATCCTGTTTCATTAGTCTATTATGTATCCTTCTGCCAACACCACACTCTTAGTTATAGTAGCTTCATTATAAATATTGACCTGGTAAATCAGGTCCTTTATCCTCCTCTTCCTACCTGTGTCATGGCTACTTGACTCTTCTTGGGCCTTTGCTTTTCTAGATAAATTTCTTTCTTTTTTTTTTTTTTGAGATGGAGTTTTGCTGTGTTTCCCAGGCTGGAGTGCAGTGGCACAATCTTGGCTCACTGCAACCTTTGCCTCCCAGGTTCAAGCAATTCTCCTGCCTCAGCCTCCCTCCCAAGTAGCTGGGATATATGCCACCATGACTGGTTAATTTTTGTATTTTTAGTAGAGACGGGGTTTCACCATGTTGGCCAGGCTTGTCTTGAACTCCTGACCTTGAGTGATTTGCCCCCCTCAGCCTCCCAAAGTGCTGGGATTACAGGCATGAGCCACCGTGCCCAGCCTCCAGATAAATTTCAGCATCTGCTTATCAAGTTCCTCAAATATGGCCATTGGGGTTTTTGTTTAGAATTACATAGATTCTAGAAATCAATTTGGGAAAAATTGACCTCATTTGGTATTGAGTTTTCTAAAAACACATTATACTCTTGTATTTATTTATGTCCTTCATATATTATAATAAAGTCTTTAAATTTTTTTCTTACACATCTTTTGTAAGACTTTTTCCTAGATACCTTGTATTTTTTTGTTACTAGTGGAAATAGTATTATTTTAAAAATTATACATAACATTTAAAAGATTATGCCTTCTAACTGCTGTTGTATAAAAATGCAATTGATTTTTATATAAGCTCTTAGTATAATAAATTATCTACAGATTTATTTGGTTTTCTATTAGATATGAATATCACCTGCATAATGAGTTTTATTTCTGGCTTTCCACTTTTTTATACGTCCATTTTCTTTTTCTTCTCTTACTGTGCTGGCTAGGATTGCCAGTATAATACTGAATAGAGATAGTGATAGAGGTCATCCTATATATACTTCTGGTTTAAAAATAATTTTGACATTTCTCATTGAGAATAATGTGTGATTTTTTTTTTTTTTTGCCCAGGCTGGAGTACAGTGGTGCTATGTTAGTCACTGCAACCTTCGCCTCCCAGGTTCAAGCAATTCTCCTGCCTCAGCTTCCCAAGTAGCTGGGGCTATAAGCGCCAGCCACCACTCCCAGCTAATTTTTGTATTTTTGCTAGAGATGGGGTTTCACTATGTTGGCCAGGCTGGTCTTGAACTCCTGGCCTCAGGTGATCCACCTGTCTCGGCCTCCCAAAGTGCTGAGATTACAGGCATGAGTTACCACACCTGGCCACGGGATGTTGATTTTTTAAAAACTCTTGTCCAGGCGTGGTGGCTCATGCCTGTAATCCCAGCACTTTGAGAGGCCAAGGTGGGTGAATCACCTGAGGTCAGGAGTTTGAGACCAGCCTAGCCAACATGGTGAAACCCCGTCTCTACTAAAAATACAAAAATCAGCTGGGTGTGGTGGCGGGTGCCTGTAGTCCTAGCTACTCGAGAGGCTGAGGTAGGAGAATTGCTTGAATCCAGGAGATGGAGGTTGCAGTGAGCCAAGATTGAGCCACTGCACTCCAGCCTGGGTGACACAGCCAGACTCCGTCTCAACAGCAACAACAACAACAACAACAACAACAACAACAACAACAACAACAACAACACCTGGTGTTGAAGTTTACCAAATGCCCAAGTTCATGCTTTTCTTTCAGTGAAGTGCACCAGTGTTTTCCAGTAAGAATGAGTTGTCCCTACTGTTGTCTTTGATTGTTTCTCTTTGGCATCTCTACCAAACCTGTCAGTCAATTTCTGAACTAATCTGCTTTGCCATAGCTCAGGAAGGGGCAGCCTTGGGTGACCTCACCCAAGAGTGGACACATGATCCAGTGTATTCATGGCCCAGTGCCGGCCAGTTATTTTAATGTCAAGATCCTTAACTGTGAGCAGAAGTGTGGAACACAGGAGCTTCCAGGTCACAGAGATGAGAGGTCAGAATTGGCTCCAGGGCAACGGAAGACCAGTGCAGGATGAAGTCACAGGGAACAGAAACCGGAGCCACAGAGGACAGGGTAGAGTCGCAGAAAGGAGAGACACACATACATGGAAAGAGGAGCTTTCTCCAATCTTAATGATTCCCAGCTCTCAGCCTCGTTTCTGTAAGACCTGGCTGGGCTTCATCTCTGCCCTTAAGGAAACTCCCCCTTCCTCCAGGCAGACTGAGTGGGCTTCCCCACGTGATTAAAGGAGCCACACCCATATCCCCTGGCACTGGCTTGCATACCACCTGTCCCATTGACCTCTGCTTTTCCATCCCCATCACCACATTCAGGTCCTTATCGTGCAGCACGAGGCGTCTCCTGCTCTTGGCAAATCAGTCTCTGGCTTGCCTTTAGGAAAATCACCTTCTCCAGACACAAATGTGGCTTTCTGCAGCCCAGCTCCAAAACCGCCCCTGCCCTTTGGATCACCCCGCCTCAGCTGCCAGCGCCCCTTGGAAGTCTGACCATCTCATCCTGGCATTCAAGGACCCACGTGATTCAGTCTCACTGCCTCTCAGAGTTATGTCTCTTTTTGGCTACAGGCAACCCAGCCTGCAAGCAAACTGTCCTGCTTTGGACCCTGCTGTGTCACTCTCCGCACCAGCCTTTGCCTCTGCTCTTCGCTCTATGAAGTCCTCCCAGGCTGCACGGAAGGACGACTTTCTCAGGTCTCTTAGGGATGGAGACTCAGGGACATCAGAACACATCTCAGCGGTGGTGACTAGTCCTCGGATTTCCTGCCATGGTGCTGCCATTCCCACCGCCCGTGCCCTCTGCCTAGGCTGTTCCTGCTGCACCGAACGCCTCCTCCTGCCACCGCCCTCCCTCCTTTCTTTAGAAGCCCCTGCCAGCACCTGAGCTCTCTGCTGATTGCTGTTCCTCCCAGTCTGTGGAAGCTTTGCCCATATGCTTTCCTTAAAAGGGTTCTGGGCAGGGCAGGCGCCCCCATTTCTCAGGGATCCCCTCCAGGACAACGCCTTTTCCTTGTGTCTTCAGCTCTCCTTACCAGATATCTATATATTTGTATATATTCAGTTTCACCAACAACGCATCAAGTACTTTTTTTTTTTTAAGTAAAGAACCGAAGTCATTGAACTGGAGTCCCATTGATTCCCTCCCCCTCGCCTCCCCAAATCTGGCACCTGCCCAAGGTATCCTCAGAACCATTTGGGGTGTCCTTTGGCATTGGATAATAGAAATAAAATTTTACCTCTTTCTACCATAAATTGTACCACGTTTTATGTATTGCTGACCCCCTTCATCTGATTTATTGCTGTTTATTTTAGAATATTTTCTCTTTGAAATTTTTTTTTCAGTAAAAAGTTATGACACCAAGCACAGTGCTCCGAAGGCGGAGGCGGATGAGCGCGGGAGGCCTTCCTTCGTCTCCGTAGGCGACGCCCTCCCACCCCTTCCCTTGTTCTCATGGCACTCCTAGCTACTGGCAAAGGTAGACGCGCCAGTTTCTGCTGCTCCCCCACGGAATGGAAGCCCCAGAGGGCAGGGACCTAGTCTGTCACGTCCCAGGCCTCACCCCAGCTCCTCTGAGGCCCGGGTGCTGGGTCGAGGCATATGCCGGGCTGCGCGGGTGGCGGGGGAGGGGGAGCCCTGGAGCGCGGCCCCAGTCCTGGGAGAGGTGTCCTTCGAGGAAAGGGACAGAAGAAAGTTGAGGACAGAGGTCCAAGGGGAAGAAAGAGGGAAAGGATCGGCGTGAGGAGGACGTCCGGGCGGGGTGGGGAGGGCCCCCCGCGGGGTCGGGCCCACGGGCTTTCTAGGGCGCGTCGCCGCTCAGGGCCACGGGTGTGCTGTCAGCTCCCGTCCGGCCGCCCGGACGCTGTAACCTCCTCCGAGGCTGGCCCTTCTGGCTCGAGACAAGCTCGGGCCTGGCACGGAGCAGCGGGAAGGGCGGGAGATTGCCCCTAGTGGACTCCAAGTCCAGCTCCTGTCCCTGGGCGCGTCTCGACACTTGCTGGGTCACGGAGGAAACCGGGTCTCGGACCCCAGCCAGCACGGGCGCCCCCCTCGGCTTCGCTCCCTTTACCCAGCGGTGGCCTCGGAGGCCCGGGTGGGGCGCGCCGCTCACCTGGAGAGGAGGCTAGGGGTCGGGGGGACACGCGCGCCCTTAGGCCCCACTCCTGTCTTCTGCCCTTTTTATTCTCCCCCGCACCCTGGGGCGGGCGGCGCGGGGCCAGGGTTTGCGAGTGTCACCTGCTTTGGTAAGTAGGTGGGCGAGTGACGCACCGCGGCGTCGGCGCCGCCTTCCAGGCGCTCTCTCTGCCTCCAGAGGCGCCGGCACTGCGGGGCCCCAGTCATGCCCGCTGCCTCAGTCTTCCAACCCGAAAAGTGGGTGGGCGAAGGAAAGCTCGGCCGAGCTGCGTCTCCAACTCCCTGCTCTCCCCTAGGGGAGCCCACCAGCTCCAATCGCGACCTCTTCTGTCCCCAAACCACAGACCCTAGCCCGCCTCGGGGACCCGGATATGGAAGGGGCGGTGGAGAGCCCTGGCCTTGATTCTCCCTGGGTCGGGAGGGCGTTCCGGCGGCCGTGGGGCTGCAGCCCTTCCTCCCCGCCTGGAAGGTGAGGGTGTGGGAGGAGCGGGAGGGGGCGAGGCCGACACAATCCCCGTGCGACCAGCGGCGGAGCCCAGAGCCAGGTTAGGAGCGCGCTCAGGCGAGCTCGGCGGAAGGCCGAGAAGGTTCATCGGAGGCGGCGGCGAGCCGAGACCAGGAGACAGACGGGGCGGGGTGACGAGGCGGGCCCCACCCCAGGAGCGCGGGGCCACACGGACACCGGCGGGCGGTCTTCCCCGGGATGCGCTGGGATTGCAGGCCTCCAGCGGCCCCGCCCGCCGCCTCCGCCCTCCCGCTCCTGAGCTGCCAATCCAGCGGGTTCTGCCGGTCCTCGGCCGTGCGTCTGGGGTCTGGATTCCCGGCTCCACTCGCCGTGAGCGCGCGTGTCAGCCGACTCGCCCCGGACCGCATGGTGCAGCTCCCGCAGGGCCGCAGCCGCGGGTCGTCGCTGATTGCCAGCTCCGCGCCCACTGCACCGCTGCGCGGCCGCCTAGGGCTCATTGCGCGGAAGTCGGCCTGGTCCCTCCCCTGGGCTGGATGGGCCCGCTCCTCCCGAGCGGTCGTGCTCTGAGTTGAATGCGATAGAGGCTTCTGGGCGCGTCGCGGGCTAGGTCCAGGAGCTGTGATCCTCTCCGAGGTCTCAGTGTGCCCGCAGCGCCCCCTGCAGTGCGTCTCCTGCAAGGGGCCCGGAACACATTCCTGTCCCCGCCAGGCCTGGAGGCCCGAGCGCCTGCTTTTCATCCACTCTGCCCACCCGCCTCTGCGGTCGGCTGCCTTGGGCGCTGGCCTTAGCAGTTCTGAGTTTGAATTCAATCGCCAATACACAGAAAGCCACACAAATGTGAAGATTTGTGAATTATTATCAAATGAACACCTTTGTAACCACTACCCAAGCCAAGAAACAGTACTTTCCCCCAGAATACCTTACCCGTGCTCCTTCCCGATTTCACTCGACTCCCTCCTTCCCAAAGTAGCCACTCTCCTGCCTTTCATAGTAATTACTTACCCGAGTTTTTAAAAAATTGTTGTCACCCAAGTTCGCCTCTCTAGAGGCTATAAATTAGACTTGCTCATTTTGTTAATATATTTTAAGTCTCTTTAATTTGTAGTTTCTTTCTCCATCACTTTCTTTTCCTTGCAATGTATCCTTGGAAGAATCTGAAGAGATTTCTAGTCTGGATTTCACTGATTGCATTCTCCTGGTGCAGTTCAACACATCTCCCTGTTTTCTGCATTTCCTGCAAATTGACAGCTGGATCCAAAGGCTTGATCAGACTCAGGTTCAAGATTTTTGGTGAGACTCCAGGTGGTGGAGTGCTGTTTTGTCAGGAGGCACATAATGTCTGGTTGTCTCTATTTTTTGAGATCTGAGGAGAGACGATGTCCAATGCTTACATTCATTAATTCACTGGGGGATGAAAATGGTGATATACTAATTATATAATTTATTTTTCATTTATCATCTGGGTTGATTTTATAAAGAGACTCTTCTCCTCATCTGCTATTTGGTTACCCAGTGGAACCGTTCACAGAGGAAAGGCGGGTAAATGCTTGTTTCTTTGCATTTATTTATCCGTTTTCAAGATGACGAATTGCTACCCTGTCATCCTCCCAAAATGAAGAGTTAAAAAAATATACCATCACGATGCCAAGGATTTAAATGTGCTAGATGGATTTCAATACGTTGCAGTTACTGTCAGTAGTAACATACAAATTGTCCCCTCTTTGGGCAGCTGGAGCCCTTCAGGTTAATCCTTGGGTCCTTTAGATGTGACCCTAGTAGCCTTTGAACACTTCCTTGTTATCTGGAATGACAAGACATCTTACCAGTTTGGGGTGCTAGGAATCCTCTTCACTTCTTGGTTGATCTTTGTTTCTAGGTCTTTTCAATGGAGGAGCTGTAAATTACATATATGATAAAATACACTGGGAATTTATACTGATGTAACTACGTTAAGTGGAGGACTTCTTGATTACACCTGTATTTCTTTTCTTCCACACTGGGAATCCTGGTTCTTAAGGACACCAGGAATAACTGAATTAGAATCCAATTAGTCATTTGTTTTATTTCAATTTATATACTTACAGGTTCAGAATAACAATATCAATACCATAACTAGCTATAATTTCTGAAAACACCTAAAACTTTTTCTTTCTGCATATGTTATTTTTATCCCCCCCATTTTTTTTTTTTTTTTTTTGAGACAGAGTCTTGCTCTGTTGCCCAGGCTGGAGTGCAGTGGCACAATCTTGGCTCACTGCAACCTCTGCCTCCTGGGTTCAAGCGATTCTCCTGCCTCAGTCTCCCGAGTAGCTGGGATTACAGGCACATGCCACCATGCCTGGCTAATTTTTGTATTTTTAGTAGAGACAGGGTTTCACCATGTTGGCTAGGCTGGTCTCAAACCCCTGAACTCAGGTGTTCTGCCCTCCTTGGCCTCCCAAAGTGCTGGGATTACAGGCGTGAGCCACTGTACCCAGCCTACCCCCTATTTTTGTTTGTACTCTACATTCTCAGATGGTAAAGCCATTAGATAGCATAATCTCTCTTTTTAAACCCTCATTTAGTCTTCACTCCACAAATAACTATACATTTGTTAATCATCACCAATCATTAATGTGATGTTTCTCTAGTTATTTTGGTCTCTGCGACTGGTGCTTTAGTAGATCCTCAAGAAGGGCTATGGACCGTGTTACTGTTTCACTATAATAAAGACAGGATCAGCATCACTGATTATTCCTTTGGCCTCAGGCTCCAGTATGGTTCAGTACAAGACTATTAATATCCTATCTTTATTTAAAAGGTTGATATTTTGTTCATCCTGGATTTTTTGGCATTGAATTTTGTTTAAAAAATTATTGCATTAAAATCTCATTTTCTGCATCCCTTAACTGTTTAGTATGCTCTGAAATTCTTTGCTGCAAGCCAGGACCTTTCTTTGCTCACCTGCCTCACCCTGGTTGGAGATGAGTTGAAGCTCCTATTTTTCTCATCCTGTTAAAAAAAAGAAAAAAGAACTCTGCGGGCGAGTTTAAAGAGACTGGGTCTCACTATGTGGCCAAGAGTGGTCTCAAAATCCTGGCCTCAAGCAATCCTCCCCCCTTGGCCTCCCAAATTGCTGGGATTACAGGCATGAGCCACCATGCCTGGCCCCTGCTTAATTTTGATTCAATTTCCAGCAGTTGCTGTCCATTGTGGGGTGCAGTCCGGAAGGGAGCCCTCGCAGATCAGTGAGAGAATTCACAGACCTTCAGATCTTACCGCAGATCTGGTAAGATCTGGAGTGAGACAAACTGCTGGTTCTCACCCGGCCCCTGCACTGTGGATGAACAGGGCCCTCAGGTGCCCAGGTAACCTGTTGCTTCCCTCGGCTTTCCCCCAGCGCATGCTGATGCTGTGCAGGTGTCATGGTTGTTGTCCACCCACTTGCATTTTGTGGTGACAGGATAACCTATCACTTAGTTTTGTTGCAATGTTGTCCACGGGTTTTGGTTTTAATGTCTTGTTGCTCTGACTATAATTATGTGGGGATTCAGAAAGCACAAAGTTATGTTTTCACCACCACTGCCATTTTTCAGATTAAATTTAATGTATTTTAAAAAGGACACTTTGTTTTATTGATATATGATGGTTGTATATATTTTGAGGGTACACCCAATAGTTTGATACATGTATACAATGTGTAATGATCAAATTCAGGTAATTGGATTATATATCACCTCAAACATTTTTCTTTGTGTTGGAAACATTCCAATTCTTCTCTTCTAGCTATTTTGGAATATATAATCAATTATTGTTAACTATAGTCACCCTACTGTACTATCAAACACTAGAACTTATTTCTTTTAACTGTATATTTGTATTCACTAACCAACTTTTCATTATCTCTTCTCCCTTCTACCCTTCTCAGGCCCTGGTAAGCATCATTCTACTCCATGCCTCCGTAAGATCCACTTTTTTAGCTCCCACATTTGAGTGAGAACATGTGATATTTGTATTTTTGTACCTGTTTATTTCACTCAACATAATGAACTCCAGCTCCATCCATGTTGCTACAAATGAAAGGATATTATTCTGTTTTATGGCCAAATAATGTTTCTTTGTGTATATATACCACATTTTCCTTATCCATTCATTCATTGGTGGATTCTTAGGTTGATTTCACTTCTTGACTAATATGAACAGTGCTGTAATAAACATGGGAGTGCAGATAGTTCTTAGGTTTACTGATTTCCTGTCTTTTGGATATATCCAGCAGTGGGATTGCTAGATCATATGGTAGTTCTACTTTTAGTTTTTTGAAGCGCCTCCATACTGTTGTTCATAGTGGCTGTCCTAGTTTATATTCCCACTAACAGTGTATGAGTGTTCCCCTTTCTCCGAATCCTTGCCAACGTCTGTTATTTTTTGTCTTTTTGATAATAGCCGTTCTAACTTGGGTGAGATGGTATCTCATCATGGTTTGATTTGCATTTCCTTGATGATTAGTGATATTGAACATTTTTTCATATACCTGCTGACCGTTTGTATGCCTTCTTTTGGGAAATGTCTATTCAGGTCTTTTGTTCATTTTAAAAATGAAGTTATTTGTTTAAAAAGGATACTTTGAATCCAGGCACAGTGGCTCACACCTGTAATCTCAGCACTTTGGGAGGCTGAAGCGGGCGGATCACTTGAGGTCAGGAGTTCAAGACCAGCCTGGCCAACATGGGGGAAATCCCATCTCTACTAAAAATACAAAAATTAGCCGGGTGTAGTGGTGGGCGCCTGTAATCCCAGCTACCTGGGAGGCTGAGGCAGGAGAATCTCTTGAACTTGGGAGGTGGAGGTTGCAGTGAGTTGAGATCACACCACTGCACTCCAGCTTGGGTGGCAGAAAGAAACTCCATCTCAAATAAATAAAATATAGGCTGGGTGTGGTGGCTCATGCTGTAATCCCAGCACTTTGGGAGGCCGAGGTGGGCAGATTGCTTGAGCCCAGGAATTTGAGGCCAGCCTGAGCAACGTGGCAAAATCCCATCTCTACAAAAATAATAATAAAAAAAATTAGCTGGGCATGGTGGTATGCACCTGTAGTCAGTGCCAGCTACTCCAGAGGCTGAGGTGGGAGGCTCACTTGAGCCTGCAAGGTAGAGGCTGACAGAGAGAGACTTTCTCTCAACAACAATAACAACAAAATATATATGTAGGCTGGGAGCTGTGGTGCATGCCTGTAATCCAAGCATTTTGGGAGGCCGAGGCAGGAGGATCACTTGAGTTCAGGAGTTTGAGACCAGCCTGGGCAACATAGTGAGACTTCATCTACTAAAAATACAAAAAAACTAGCTGAGTGTGGTGGGGTGTGCTTATAGTCCCAGCTACTTGGGAGGCTTAGGTGGGAGAATCACTTGAGCCTGGGAGTGGAGGCTGAAGTGAGCTATGATCTTACCCCTGCACTCCAGCCTGGATGACAGAGCGAGACTGTCTAAAAAAAAAAAAAAAAAAAACAACAAACAAAATAACAACAACAGCAACAATTAAAAAAAACAAAAAACCAGGCTAAAATTCTCCCTGCCTTAAAAAAAGAAAAAGAAAAACAAACCTTTACTTCTGTAAACCCATAAGATTTGCACAACTTAAAAAGTCTGAAGTCACCTTTTTTTTTGAGACGGAGTCTCGCTCTGTTGCCCAGGTTGGAGTGCAGTGGCATGATTTTGGCTCACTGCAACCTCTGCCTCCTGGGTTCAAGTGGTTCTCCTGCTTCAGCCTCCTGAGTAGCTGGGATTACACAGGCTCGTGCCACCACACCCAGCTAATTTTTTATATTTTTGGTAGAGATGGGGTTTCACCATGTTGGCCAGGCTGGTCTTGAACTCCTGACCTCAAGTGATCCACCCACCTCTGCCTCCCAAATTGTTGGGATTACAGGCTTGAGCCACTGTGCCCAGCCCTGATGATACATTTCATTTTAAACTATCATTCAGGAGTAAGGGTAAAACAAGATTTTCAGAGAGGGAACCATAGGGAAGCTGGCGAGACGGGCAGAAACAGGAAATTGTGTACTCCGTTTGTTGGAATCTGAATCAGCCTACTATGTGGAGAACACTTTGTTAATCCTACTTAGATATCTGCATACTTTGTGGTAGAGACATTTGTAAGTATCTGCTCTAGGTAGAGACATTTGTAAGTAACTGCTCTAGAGAAACCTGTTCCTATGTTCGCAAGGGCATAAGTACCAAGACATTCACTGTGGCACTGTTGGCCATTCTAAAGAAGTGGAAAAAAACCGACTCTGCCCTGGAAGGGGAACAGGAGAGTGAGATGCGGCATTGTCTATCATCGAATACTCCAAAGCAGCAAAGCCAGACAGTATGAAACTCCGTCTGCCAACGCATCTAAACATCAAAAACATGATGCAAGATAAAAGCAAGCTGCAACACGATATACACAGTATTATCATAATTTATGTAAAGTGAAAGACACTGAAGCTATAATATACATCATTAATGGAAATATACACATATATCAAAGTGTAGAAAAGTCAGTTAGACCTTACAGCTGACTAACACAATAACCAATACTACACGTCAACAGCTGTGCCGCTGGGGCACGGGGAGGGGAGGGGAGGGAAGGGATGATCCTCAGCTCTCTCTATAGTGGTTTATTTCTAGCAGACAGAGAAACAGCTCCAAAGCAAAGGGATTTCATGGATTATTTCTGCATGGCCAGTAAGGGTGTCTGTTACTTCATTATTTCTCTGTATGTTTAAAAATTTTATAATGAAAATGTATTATCTCTACACGAGCACTTTTTATTTCCCCTGTGAATAATCAGAAGAGTTGGAAAATAAATAAGAAGGAAATAACTTTATCATTCTGCAGTTGAGTATAATTTGAAGTTTAATTCCTGACTGTCTATCACCCCCCACCCTACCAGTGCTGGAGAACGCCTGGGAGGAGGTGTGAGAGGCACGGCTGAGCCCAGTGGTTGTTTGCCCTGGTGCTCCTCTTGCTTCTTATGCTCACGACACTGCACCTTGATGTCCTACTCTACAGCAGTGCCCGCCCCACCCTTGCTGCCACAGCTCCACCCCTGGCCTCCGTGTCCTCCATTGCACATTCTTGCTTCATATTCCAAGCAGTGCTGCACACACACTGTGATGTCATTGTGCATCTCACTGTCAGAATACAATAACAAAATGAGCGTTTTAAAAAGAAGAATTGGGCCGGGTGCAGTGGCTCACACCTGTAATCGCAGCACTCTGGGAGGCCGAGGTGGGCAGATCACCTGAGGTCAGGAGTTTGAGACCAGCCTGGAGCCTGGCCAACATGGCGAAACCCTGTCTCTACTAAAAATACAAAAATTAGCTGGTGTGGTGGCATGCGCCTGCCAGCTACTTGGGAGTAATCCCAGCTACTCAGGAGGCTGAGGCTGGAGAATTGCTTGAACCCAGGAGGCAGAGGCTGCAGTGAGCTGCGATCATGCCACTGCACTCCAGCCTGGGCCACAGAGTGAGACTCCGTACCCCCACCCCCAACAAAAAAGAAAAAAAGAAAAAGAAAAATTAGCATTCCCCCCTCCCCTCTGATAGCTGGGTCCACCTTCCTGGCCCCACATCTTAGTGTTGGATGGCGCTGTGCTTGCTGACCACGTGTCACTTGCACACTTTCCCCAGCTTCAGTCTGCCAGGATAGGGTGACAGCATGGGGCCCAGGACCCACAGGGAGGAGACCAGCAGAGGCAGGTGGGATCAGGACTTGACCTTCCTCTTTCAATAACTCTAAATTAGTTCTTGCTACTTTCACTCGTTCAGGTTGACAGACTCCCTGAGACATGCAGACGTGACTTCCTAAGCATCATTCGTGCGTCCATCCCAGCCCTGCCGGACCATGTCTGACCTGGGCTCAGGATGGCACTGGCACCCAGGGGTGATTTAGGGGTTAGGTTTCAGCGGGCTCTACCTGAGGTGGGCTCAGGTCACAGAGCACAGCCAGGAAGGAGAACCAAGCTCTTCTAGAAGTGTATGGAAAGAGTTCCAGGAGGAAGAGCTGCCAGGCTGGGCCTGGAGTTGGCCAGGTACTGGGGTGGGGGAGGTGGGCTCCAGTGCTACGGCCAACCTCAGTGATGACGCTTCCCAGGTCGCAGCCTTCTCCTCTACTCCCACCCTGCCGCTTGCAGCCCCTCCACCTACCCCACCTCTAGCCTCCCCTTGCTCCCCTCCCCTTCCAGGGCACTCTCAAGGACTCTAGCCCCCAAGCTCCCTGCGTCCGCACACTTCTCTGAGCATCCCACCCTGATGCTTTGATAGACATGGGCTGGCCTAGGCCCTGCCCCTTCTTCAGTCTTCTCCAGTGTGGGGACGCCATTTCCTCTCCTGCTATCAGCAACCCAGGCCTGGGAGACGTGGAGTCTGTCCTTAGAGACAGGTCTCTAAGTTCTGTCCCCCGCTTAGAGCATTTCTCCTTTCCTTCCAGCTGTTCCCTCTCTCTAAACCCCTGACTCTGGTCTTGGGAGGACCGTGGAGCCTGTCTCACAGCTGTGAGTCCACTCTCTGGCTGGCACCTTCCTCTTCCCTCCTCCCTCAGAAGTGGCCCCTCCGGGCTCTGGTGCATCTTCTCTCTCCTCAAGGACCTGTTCCCATACCTCCTGCTTCCCTCTGCTCCCTCTCCTGGGGGCTTCCCCAGCCTCCCAACAGGCCCAGGAGGCCCTAAAAAGAAAACAAACCAAACTTCCCTTGACTCCACAACTCCTTCCGGCTACTATCTCTTCTCCTTCCCCTGTTTATATCTACAGGTGTTTTCTAATCTTAGTTGGTGACTCTACTGTCCATTTTAGCTTTTAGCTTCACCCAGCATCCTGTCTGCTAAGGTCACCAGGGACCTCCCGGGCCACGTGGAATCACCACATCTCAGTCCTTGACTTCTGCAGTCCCTTGCTCTGCCTCTTCCCTTGTTTCAAGCTCCAGCCTCTTCAGTTTGCTCCTGGATTCACTCCCGCACCAGGGCCACATGGTCTCAGTCTCCTTGCTCACTCCTCCTCCTCAGCCTGGCCTCTGAAATTGCACCCTACCCTCCCCTGCCCCTGCTCAGCTGCTCAGTTGCTCAGCTCCTGCCCTTCTCTTGCCACCTGACCTCCCTAGACCTGAGGTTCTCAATCTTAGCTTTGCACGAGAATCATCAGGGAGTTCTGCGAAATGCTGATGCCCAGGCTGATCGCGTCCAGGGGAGGGCCAGGGTCACTGGCATTTTTCCAACACTCTCAGGTGATGTAAGTGCTCTGTGGGGGCTGAGAAGCCCAACCCAGGGTGGTGCCTCCACTCTCAAGGCACCAGCATCGTGTCCTACACAGGTGCCTTCCAGCCTGACCCCTCCTCTGAGCACCACCTGCCAGTGTGACAGCTCCATCTGGCATGGGAAGCAAAAAAAAAATGTTACTTAAAAATCCAACGAGCTTATTAAGGAATCTGTGGCTGCACTCCGAGCTGGTCCCCACAGGCTCGTGGTTCTTCTTAATCAAGTAGTAAATCCTTTATAAGGTGGTGAGTGTCTCACCACAATCATATGATCTAGATGTTATTATTCCCAGTTTACAGATGAGGAAACAGGCACAGAAACTTGCCCAAGGCCATGCAGGTAGCAGGAGGTGGAGCTGGGATTACAAACCCAGACAGTTTTGGCTCAACAGTCCAGGGTCATAACCACAGTCCAGCTTCAGTGAGTCCTGCTGCCTTCACAGGGGACAGCGGCCGGCAAGGTTGGCTCCTTGGACTGGGCACACACGGCCACAGGGACAGGCAGGCAGATAATGGGACTGTCATCGCCACATACATGTGACAATCTCCTTTGCTGCTGCCTTTATGTTCCCATCCTTAAATACCTCTCCCCAGGATCAAGGCTGGCTGCAACATTTATCCAGGCCCAAACCCAACATAGACGGAGTCCAGCCCCACCAGGCATGGTAGCATTTTTTGTGATCTGGAGTAAGACCCTCTACTGGCAACTTCACTGGAAATTCCCTGGTAAGCGGTTTCTCCCAGTGATTTAAGTATTGGAACAGATTTGCTCTAATCTCATGAGTGTCAAAGTTTAATGGCCCCAAACTGCCTTCTGGAACGACCTCTCCCGCTTCCTGAAGCGGCAGCTCCTCTCTGCAGCTGCTTAAGCGAGAACCCTGGAGTCTGTGTTGGCTTTTTTTTTTTTTTTTTAATCGCCCCCACTTGCAATTAACTCATCCTCAGGTCCCATCGATTCTAACTCCAAAATCTATCCCTCTCTACGCCTACACCTGCCTCCACTCCCTGGTCCAGGCCGGCTCTGGCCTTGTTCCTGAATAACGCTTTTCACTTCCATTTCCCTCTCCCTCCCATCCAAGTCAGAGGTGTTTACAAGACAAATTTGATCCTGTTTCTCTGGTGACAAACAATTAAAAGTAGCAGTGGCACTTTGAGGAAAAGCCCAAATCCTCATTGGGGCCTCCAGCCCCTCCTCCTCTCAGCAGCCCTCCTGGCGAGTCCAGCCACACTGGCCTTCTGTCTGCTCCTTCAAGGAACAACCCAAGCCCCAGCTTCAGACGCCCCAGGCCCAGCCACCTCCTCGCTCTTTGCCTGGTTATTAACCCATTCTTCAGCTCGTCCCCAAGGTTCCTGCACCCTGAGCCCGCAGCTCCTCCCTGATGGCTCGCCGCGGGTCTCGGGCGCTGTCAGCCGGGTGGGCCGCAGTGATGGGTCA
The DNA here is from genome assembly GCF_000001405.40 of Homo sapiens. Lineage (NCBI taxonomy): Eukaryota > Metazoa > Chordata > Mammalia > Primates > Hominidae > Homo > Homo sapiens. The sequence goes on along the minus strand of NC_000010.11, from coordinate 86,389,931 downwards.
GACCAGGAAGGGGCGTGAGGTCGGGGTGGGAAGGTGACCTCAGGACCGGGCCCCGCGACTCCGCAGCCGCCAGCACCCAGGTGCGCCCAGCTGGCTCTGTCGCCTCCCGGCGGCAGCGGCGACCCTGGCCCTCAGTCTCTCCAGCGGACCCGGCGTGGCCCGGCGCTTCCCGGACCCGGGAAAAGGGGCCCAGCCGCGCTCCCCGAGCCCTGCGGTCAGCCGGCGTGGCTCCGGGACTGAGAGAATCCTAACGCCCAGACCTGGGAGCACAGGATCGGGGGCGGGGCGGGGCTTCCCAGCACTGGCCCCGCCCACCTTGGGCCATGTCCCCTCCTGTTTCCTGGTCGTAATCAGCTAGGTCTTCGCAGGCTCGGTGGTCAGAGACGCCTGATGCAAGTTCTCTGCCGCTTTACTATGCGGCGTGTGCAAGTCACCCTCATTCCTTTAATTAACATTGACCCTCTTCCACGTGCCAGGCGCCATTACAGGCACTGAGCATACCACCTGGAGCTTACAGTCTAGTGTAGGCAGATAGATAACAAGCAAATAGGTTTTTGTTTTGTTTTGTTTTAAGACGGGTCTCGCTCTATCGCCCAGGCTGGAGTGCAGTGGCACAATCTTGGCTCACTGCAACCTCTGCTTCCCGGGTTCAAGCGATTCTCCTACCTCAGCCTCCTGAGTAGCTGGGAATACGGGCGCGTGCCACCACGCCCAGCTTGTATTTTTAGTAGAGAGGGGGTTGCACATATTGGCCAGGCTGGTCTCGAGCTCCTGACCTCAAGTGATCCGCCCACCTCGGCCTCCTAAAGTGCTGGGATTACAGGCGTGAGCCACCGCGCCTGGCCACAAATAGGTTTTTAAAAAGCATAGACTGGGCCGGGCGCGGTGGCTCACGCCTGTAATTCCACAACTTTGGGAGGCCGAGGCGGGCGGATCACGAGGTCAGGAGATCGAGACCATCCCGGCTAAAACGGTGAAACCCCGTCTCTACTAAAAATACAAAAAATTAGCCGGGCGTAGTGGCAGGCGCCTGTAGTCCCAGCTACTTGGGAGGCTGAGGCAGGAGAATGGCGTGAACCCGGGAGGCGGAGCTTGCAGTGAGCCGAGATCCCGCCACTGCACTCCAGCCTGGGCGACAGAGCGAGACTCCGTCTCAAAAAAAAAAAAAAAAAAAAAAAAAAAAAAAAAAAGCATAGACTGTTAGGTGGTGATATTCCTTAGGGGAAAACATAGCAGGAAAGGGGATAGGGACCGCAGGAAAGAGGTCCTGCAGTTTTAAGTAGGATGGTCTGGGAGGCTTCCCTGAGAAGGGCAAGTGAGTGAAAACTTGAATGCAGGTATCTGTCTGGGGGAGGAGCTTCCCAGGTAGAGCAATCGGTAGGTGCAAAGGTGTGTTCCAGGGGCACAAATAAATAGGCCACTGTACTGAGGCAGAGGTGAGAGGTCTGGGGATGAGGATAGAGAGGAAACCCTCCTGCGGAGGGAGCTTTTCCTCTGAGGGAGGCGGGAGGCGGAAGGTTCTCAGCAGAGGAATGACAGGACGCGACACACTGTGTAACTGAGTCAGTCTGGATGCTGTTGCTGCAAACACGCGCAGGGGGCACGGGTGGATCCCAGGACCAGTTAGGAGCTCTTGCAATGAGGCAGGAGGCCTCGGGGGTGGTCGCGGAGGGGTGAGAAGGGGCTGGATTCTGGATCTTTATCCAAGCCAGAGCAGACAGGATTTGCTGCTGGCTTGGATGTGGGGTGGAAGGAGGGAAACAGAAAATCAGGGATGACTCTCAGGTTTTTGGCTTGAGCTTCAGAAAGGATGGAAGTTGCCGGGTGGGGAAGGCGGCAGCAGAAGCCGGTTTGGGGGTGGGGAGATGTGGAGCTCACTTTTTCTACACCTCCCATTGAAGATGAATATTCCACCTTTAAGTGGAGATGCTGGTTAGATGCTGGCTGTATCAGTGAGGCAGGACTTCACGGGGGGAGGGTTGGGGGTGGTGGGCTAGAAATCAAGATTTGGGAGTCATAAACGTAGAGATGGCATTTTAAAGCATTGGAACTGGATGAGATCATCCAAAGAGTGACCGAGAAAAGGTGGGTAGGGGAGATAGGAGAAGGAGGGACTGGAGGAGACTGAGCTGGGGCAGCCAGGAAGGCTGGAGAAAAACCAGGAGGGTGGGAGGAGGCCCCTAAAGCCAAGTGAAAAGAGTGTTTAAGAGGAGGGCTGCTCAGCTGTCCTAAATGCCACTGACAGTTCAAGAGGAGGACTGAGAGGCGACCATTGGATCTAACACCATGAGGTCATTAGTGAGCTTGACAGAGCAGTGTGGGTGAATGGTGGGGGGAAAGCTTGATTGGAGTGAGTTCAAGAGAGAATGAGAAGAGAACAGCTGGAGACAGCGAGTCTATACAAGCCTTCCCACAGTGTGCGCTTTGAAGGGAAGATGGGGAGCATCTGGAGGGATATGTGAGTGCAGGTCCTGCAGAGGCAGGTGGGCTGATGCAGGAGAGGGAGGCCTGGCGGAGCAAGGCCTAGTGCTGGCTGTCAGGAGGTGCTTCACCCACAGCAACGGGCAGGAGGGTGCGAATTATGTGCACTTCGCTGCAGCTAGGTGGAGCTTGTGGAAGTTCTCCTTTTTTCCTTAGGCTAACAATATTTTCTGAAAAGTGCATAAAACACAAATATGCCATTCTGTGAATGAAGTAGGTACTATGTAACCACCACCCAGGTTAAAAAAATTAAGGGGATTAACACCTCACACATCTTCCCAGTGCTGCTCTGCAATCATAATCCTTTCCTTCTGCTCTAGATATAACCACCATTCTGGCTACATTGATAGTATTTTATTTTATTTTTATTTTTGAGATAGAGTCTCACTCTGTTTCCCAGGTTGGAGTGTAGTAGCACCATCTTGGCTCACTTCAACCTGTGCCTCCTGAGTTCAAGCGATTCTCTTGCTTCAGCCTCCCAAGTAGCTGGGATTACAGGTGTGTGCCACCATGCCTGGCTAATTTTTTGTATTAATATTTTTAGTAGAGATGGCGTTTTGCCATGTTGCCCAGGCTGGTCTCAAACTCCTGGCCGCAAGTGATTCTCCCACTTCAGCCACTGAAAGTGCTGGGATTACAGGCATAAGCCACCATGCCCAGCTGACACTGATAATATTTAAAAAGTAGTTTTTTACTATCTCAGTGCATTCCTAAATTTGTTTTGGTTGTTATTTCTATTCATTTGAATAGAAGGCCACTAAATACGGTTGTTTTTTGTTTTGTATTGGTTTTGCCTTTTATTCAATGTCATGTTTGTGAATAGCATTCATGTTTTCTATAGTTTTAGCTTGTTCATTTTCATGGCTGCATAGGGGTCCATTGTAGAAACATATTGCAATGATCTATTTACTTACTCCACTAAGATGGAAGTTTGGGTTGTTTGCAGATTCTGCCTTTCACAAACAGTGCTGCTGTGAATGTTCATAGGTCTGTCACATGTGCCCTTGTGCAGGAGTCTCCCTAGGGTAGAGTGGAAATGCTGGGTCAGAGGGCATGTGTATCTGCAGCTTGAATAGGTGATGCCAAACTCTTTCCAAAGTGGATACATAATTTTACACTCCTATATTTTGATGGATGTGTAATGGCATCTCATTCTAGTTTTAATTTGCATTTCTCTAATCACAAATGAATTTTTTCTTTTGAAAAGTGCCTGTTCAAACGTTTTGTCCATTTTTCTATTAGGTTGTTATTCTGATTACGTACTGCTACATAGCCAACCACCCCAAAATTTTGTGACCGGAAAAAGCAGCACTAATTTCTTTTGCTCATGGGTCTTCAGCTTGAGCAGGACTTGTCCTCAGCTGTGATGACTCAATGGCTAGGGGCAGGGCTAGCTGGGGAATGGCTTCGTCACAGTGGGGCAGTCTCAGGTGTGCCCCAGAACAAGCATTGCAAGCACTGGGTGGAAGTGCAGGACTTCTTCTGACTTAGTGTTGAATGTCCCAGATGTGTTTTTTCAGTCAAGCAAGTCACTAAGGCCAGCCCAGATTCAAGGAAAGGGGAATTGGATTCCACCTTTCAATGAGAGGAATAGCAAAGAATTTGTAGTCAACTTTCATCTCCCCTGATTGTAGCTTTTTTTCATATTGATTTGTAGTTCGATATATATTCCCTCTGTTTAGAAGTATTTATTTTGGAGAGTTATTTTTTTATTTATACATTCTCCCATCATGGCTTTGTTTTTGCTCTCTTTATAGCTTTTCCCCCCTTTGTGGCTAATGCTTTTTAAGTCTTGTTTAAGTTTTCCCCTCCCTCAAGGTCATAAGAGCTGTCTAACTTTCTAATCACCTAAAGCTTTCTGAATTTCTCTTTCTATTTAGGTCATTAATCAACCTGGAATTTAATGTATGGTGTGAAGTAGGGATCCAATTTAACTTTTTCCTCATATGGATATGTCAGTGTCATTTATTAAGAAGAACGTCCATTCCTGTCTGCTCTGCAGCACCACTTTGGCCAGATAGCAAATGTTTGTGTATGCAAGAGTCCTTTCTGGGCTCTCTATTCTGTTCCATTCTAATCTTCTATCTTTGAGTCAATACCACACTGTCTGAATTTCTATTTATAATAGATCTTGACATCTAGCAGAATAAGTTCTCCCATCTTGCTTTTCTTTAAAAGTGTCTTGGCTATCTTATTTTTTTATACTTCTCAATACATTTTAGACTCACTTTACAAGTTCCACAAAACATCTTTTGAATTTCTGATTTAAACTGACATCTGTATCATATTTGTTCTTCCAATATTTATTTATAGTGTATCCCTTCATCTATGTAGGTCTTCTTAAAGCTTCTCACTGCACCTTTTTTTGTTCCATAGAATCCACAGGTTTTCAAATATTTTTCCTCCTTCAATCCTTTACAATGTGGTGAATATCACTGATTTTTTAAAATGTTAAGCCAATTTTCATTACTAGAATACATAAAATTTGGTCATGATGGATTATATATTTGTAATATATTTATATTTTATTTACATATCTTTTGATTTGGTTGGCTAATGTTTGATTTAGAATTTTTGCATTTACTTTCATGAAAGTGAGTGGCTTGTGATTTTCATTTCTCTAATGTCTTTGTCAGGTTTTAATATTGCTCTGCTGGCATCATAAAGAAGTTGGGATGGTTCCTCTTTTTCTTTTCCTTTTTTTTTTCTTTTTTTTGAGACGGAGTTTCGCTCTTGTTGCACAGGCTGGAGTGCAATGGCACGATCTTGGCTCACTGCAACCTCTGCCTCCCGGTTCAAGCGATTTTCCTGCCTCAGCCTCCCGAGTAGCTGGGATTACAGGCATGTGCCATCACGCCCGGCTAATTTTGTATTTTTAGTAGAGATGGGGTTTCTCCATGTTGGTCAGGCTGGTCTCCAACTCCTGACCTCAGGTGATCTGCTCGTCTCGGCCTCCCAAAGTGCTGGGATTACAGGCGTGAGCCACCGCGCCCTGCCTGGTTCCTCTTTTTCTGGTCTATGGAAAAGTTTGTGTAACAGTGACATTGTTTCTTCCTTAAATGTTTGGTAGAATTCACCAATGAAACCATCTGGGCTTCAAGGATTTACATTTCTTTAATAATTGTAAGACTGCCCAAGTTATCCATTTCCTCTGGTATAAATTTTGGTAAATTGTATTTTAGAGAGAAATTTATCCATTTCATTTGAATTTTCAAATATATGTTCATACTATTTTCTTATTTTTTGATGTCTGTAGGATCCTTGGTTAACTTCTTTTTCTTACTCTTGCTTAGTTATTTTCATTCTCTCTCTTTCTCTTTTTCTCTCTTCCATTTTGATCAGTCTTGCCAGGATTTTTTAACTTTGTTAATAGTTTCAAAGAAATGACTTTTGACTTTTAAATTTTATTTTGATTTCTCTATTGCATGTATTATCTTTCATATTTTATTAATTTATACTCTCGACTTTTTTATTCTACCTTTTTGGGTTATTTTACGTTTCTTTTTCTAATGTCGGAAATGGACACTTTTTCATTAATTTTCTGCCTTCCTTCAAGACTATAAATCTTCCAAATACATAAAAGGCTACTTAGAGAGAAGCATGAGTTTTGATATGTGACATTTTTGTTATTCTTCTGTTGTAAATATTTTCTTTTTTCTTTTTCTTTCTTTCTTTTTTTTTTTATGAGACGGAGTCTCGCTCTGCCACCCAGGCTGGAGTGCAGTGGCGCGATCTCGGCTCACTGCAAGCTCCGCCTCCTGGGGTTCATGCCATTCTCCTGCCTCAGCCTCCCGAGTAGCTGGGACTACAGGCACCTGCCACCTCGCCCGGCTAATTTTTTTGTATTTTTAGTAGAGACGGGGTTTCACTGTGTTAGCCAGGATGGTCTCGATCTCCTGACCTCGTGATCTGCCCGCCTCGGCCTCCCAAAGTGCTGGGATTACAGGCCTGTTGTAAATATTTTCTAATTTTCATTTATCATGTTCTTTTTGTATACTGAGTTGTTTAGGAATGTATTTCTTAGTTTTATTTTTAATATTAATTACCAAGTTAATTACATTGTTGTCAGAAATCATGTTTAATGGCCGGGTGCAGTGGCTCACCACACGCCTGTAATCCCAGCACTTTGGGAGGCCAAGGCGGGTGGATCACCTGAGGTCAGGAGTTTGAGATCAGCCTAGGCAACACGGTGAAACCCTGTCTCTACTAAAAATACAGAATTAGCCGGGCGTGGTGACACATGCCTGTAATCCCAGCTACTCCGGAGGCTGAGGCAGGAGAATTGCTTGAACCTTGGAGGCGGAGAATGCGGTGAGCTGAGATCGTGCCATTACACTCCACCCTGGGCAACAAAAGTAAATCTCCATCTCACCAAAAAAAAAAAAAAAAAAAAAAGAAAAAAAAAAGAAATCATGTTTAATACTATTTCAATCAAACATTATCTTTTTTTTTTTTTTGAGATAGAGTCTTGCTGTTTTGCCCAGGCTGGAGTGCAGTGGTGTGATCTTGGCTCACTGCAACCTCCGCCTCCTGGATTCAAGTGATTTTCTTGCTTCAGCCTCCTAAGTAGCTGAGATTACAGGCATGCACCATCATGGTGGGTTAATTTTTGTATTTTTAGTAGAGATGGGGTTTTGCCATATTGGCCAGGCTAGTCTTGAACTCCTGACCTCAGGTAATCCGCCCGTCTCGGCCTCCTAAAGTGCTGGGATTAAAAGCATGAGCCACCGCACCCGGCCTAAACATTATCTTTTTGTAAATGTTCATGTATGCTTGAAAAGAAACTGTAGTCTGCTCTTGTTGAGTGCAGCATTCTATATGTGTCCACTAGATCAAATATGTTAATAATATTTTACAGATGGTTTATTTCTTCCCTGAATTGTGACGGCTTTTTACTGCTTTTCTTGTCTATACTGAGAGACTTGTGCTAAATTCTCTCACTGTGATGTTGGATTTGTCTTTCTTTTTGTAGATATATAATTTTGGACTTTATATATTTTGTGACTATGTTGTTAAATGCATACAAGTATAACATTTTTATGTCTCCCTTGTAAATGAAATATTTTATCATCACATAATAATCCTCTTTATCTCTAATAATACTTTTTTGCCTTAAAGTCTACTTTGTCTGATATTGCTATAGCCACAGTAGCTCTTTTTTGGTTAATGCTCACATGGCACATTATCCTTATTCCTTTTACTCTCAATATTTCTTTATTTTTATATCCTAAATGTGACTTTTGTCACATCTAGATTTTCACAAAAAATCCAATTTACTAACATTTGCAATTTGACTAAAGCATTCAATTCTCTTACATTTAATATACTTATTAATGTATTTTTGTTTTTAAAATATCACTTTATTTTGGGCTTTCTGTTCTGTTTCTCTTTCTTGCTTTCTTGGGCTCAACTGTATTTTCTTGGACTTCACTGTACTTTATCATACACTTTTCCATCCAAAGTTATTGTCTCCTTTTTTGTGTATGTGTTTTCCTTCAAAATTAAAATCTGCATACTTAATTTACCAAAGTTTACAGTTAATGAATACTTTTGCCATATTCCCCAGACAATCCCTGTATTGTCTTATATTTTAGTTCTTATTTTTTTGTATGCCATAGGCATCACTGTTCTAGACAGTGTTCATTTATATTCACCCATGCATTTAAATGCTCATTGCTTTTCACTCTTTCCTGTGCATAGGTCCTTCCATCTGGGATCACTTTCCTTCTGCCTGAAATAGCTCCTTGAGCATTTCCTTTAGTGAACGTCTGCTTCTAATTGAACTCTCAGAGTTTTTGTTTGCCTGAAAAATCTTTATTTCATCCTAATTCTTGAAAGACATTTTTTTCCTTAGTGTGGAGTTCTAGGGTAGAAACATTCTTTCAGCTCATTGAAGCTACCACTCCACTATCTTCCGCCTTGTTATGTGTGTACTGTTGTTGAGAAGTCAGCTGTCAGTTTAAGAAATCTGTTTTTTCTTCTCTAGCTGCTTTTACAATTTTTCTCTGTATCTTTGGTTTTCTGCTGTTTCACTATGATGGATCCAGGTGTGAATTTCCTATTGACCAGGAGTTCTAAAGTCACGTGGGTGGATTTCAGCAGTTGGGGAGGGCTGGGAGGTAGGATCAGACAAGGAGATGCCTACAGCTTGTAGGGGATTGATCTGGGATGCCACATCATTAAGCCTCAGTTGTGTGCTCTGTAAAAGAGGGTTGATGATATTTACTTTGCATCTCCGTCTTCATTCAGTAAGCATTGATTGAGAACCCACTAGGTGCTAGACCCTTTCCTGGGTAATGGGAACACAAGATGAGTCTCAGCTTTTGCGACTCTTCCAGCTAGAAGGGGAGGCAGGTGTGAGAACAGACATATATGATGGTGGGTGCTGCAGCCACAGGTGGCCCAAGGATGGGTCACTTCCACATGGGGTTGGGGGTGTAGGTAATAAAGACTTCCTGGTTCATGGAGTTTCAACTTCATCTTAAAAGCCACATACATTTCTAGGGGGCCATCCACGAAAGAAGGCATTCCTAGGAGAGGGAACAGCAAGGGCTGAGAGGTGGGAAACAGCGTGGCTCATTAGTGTTACCGAATTGTTTTACACTTTGGGGTTGGGAGCCCTTTGGAGGGCTTCTGTTCTAGCCAGTAATCTTTTTGTTGCCAGTGACCATAACACATGGCAGAAACTCACACTGCAAAGGCAGAGAGGGCAGGGGAACAGCCACCACCTCTTGCCTGTGCTTCTCTGGTTCCTTCCACCCATCAGGGATCATGTCTGCCCACCTAGCCTGACTTCACATCTTACATACCCATCACCTATAGGGCCGGATTCTCTTTATTCTAGTTAAAGCATTCTGGAGGAGGGTGCTGATTGGCTAGTTTGGAGTAGGTGGCCATCTTCAGACCAATCAGACATAGTCAGGGCCTGGGTCTTCTACGACCTCGGTCATTCCTGCTACAGCCCCGTGTTGTTTTGATGGCGCAGCTCTCAGGGCAGGGGGCATTGCCTGGGGCCGGTCCTGCAGAAATTCACTACAGCCTAAGTGCTGTGGAACTTGACCATTGTTCTGCAGACAGAGGGCCTAGCAAAGGGTTTGTGTGATTTTATATTATTTTTATTTTTAATTGTGATAAAATACACATAATATAGCATTTACCATCTTAACCATTTTTAAGCATACAGTTCAGTGGCATTAGGTACATTCACATTGTTGTGCAACCCTCACCACCATCCATCTCCTGAACTTTTTCATCTTCCCAAACTGAAACTCTGTCCCCATTAAACAACTCCCCATTCTCATCTTCCCTCAGACCCTGGCAACCACCATTCTACTTTCTGTCTCTGTGAATATGACTACTCTAGGTACCTCCTATGAGAGAATCATACAGTATTTGTCTTTTCTTTTCTTCTTTTTAGATGACGTCTCACTCTGTTACCCGGGTTAGAGTGCAGTGGTATGATCTTGGCTCACTGCAATCTCTGCCTTCAAGGCTCAAGCCATCCTCCTGTCTCAGCCTCCCGAGAAGCTGGGACCACAGGTGTGTGTAACCACGCTCGGCTAATTTTTTTGTATTTTTTGTTGAGATGGGGTTTTGCCATGTTGCCCAGGTTGGTCTCAAACTCCTGAGCTCAAACAATCCACCTGCCTTGGCCTCCCAAAGTGCTGGGATACAGACATGAGCCACTGAGCCTGGCCAGTATTTGTCTTTTTGTGATGCGCTTATTTCATTTAGCATAATGTCCTCAAGGTTCGTCTATGTTGGAACATGTGTCAAAATGTCCTTCCTTTTTAAGGATGAATAATATTCCATTGCATGGATGGACCACAGTTTATCCATCATTTGTTGATGAACGCCTGGGTTTCTTCCACCCTTTAGCTATTGTGAATAACATTGCTATAAATATGGGTGTACAAATATCTCTTTGAGGACCTGTTTTCAATTCTTTTGGATATATACCCATAGTGGAATTGCTCGATCATGTAAAAGAAAATACAATTTCAGAATCCTCTAAATTTATTATACCAAGGGGGAAGGCTCATTCATGTAACTTGTTTGCAATCCTGCTTCTTAGATTATAGATTAAGGCCGGGCATGGTGGAGCACGCCTGTAATCCCAGCACTTTGAAAGGCCGAGGTGGGTGGATCACTTGAGTTCAGGAGTTCGAGACCAGCCTGGCCAACATAGTGAAACCCCGTCTCTACTAAAAATACAAAAAGTAGCTAGGTGTGGTGGCGGATGCCTGTAATCCCAGCTACTTGAGAGGCTGAGACACGAGAATTGCTTGAACCCAGGAGGCAGAGGTTGCAGTGAGCTGAGATCACACCACTGCACTCCAGTCTGGGTGACGAAGTAAGACTCTCTCTCAAAAAAAAAAAAAAAGAAAAGAAAGAAATTAACTCTCTTACTCATTGCTCTTGTTCTGTAAATGACTAGGGGAGACCAGAGACCATAACTCCCCCCTTCCAGTCACTGATCTTTGTTATAAATTAACTGCCTTTTTTATTGTCCTGTACCTAACTTAGACCAGATAGCAGCCAAGACCCCATGATAGTTATATCTTCAGTGTGGAATGTTAAGTGTACCTTTCCCAGAAGAAAAAGACCATCTTGACTAATCAGATCATTGTAACTATGTATTAAGTCTTACATAAAAAGATGTTAAATGTTCTGTTAAGCTTCCCTAAACTTTATCTGTATGCACGATCCTAAACTTCTACACTTTGGATCTACACTGACTTCCATCCTTTGGAATCTTTGCTTCCTGGACCACTTGTCCTTGAACTTTGCACTTAATATACTCTTTAAGTGAGATTTTGACCCTTTCGGTTAAATTGAAAATCATATGGTAGTTCTATTTTCAATTTTTTGAGAAATGGCCTACTGTATTCCATAGCGGCTGCACCCTCTTACGTTCCCACAAACAATTCACAAGGGTTCCAATTTCTCCACATCCTTGCTTGATTTATTGATTGATTGTGATTAGTGTGTAATGGATGTGAGGTGGTATCTCATTGTGGTTTTTATTGCATTTCCCTAATGGCTAGTGATGTTGAGCATCTTTTCATGTGCTTATTGGTCATTTATATCTCATTTTTGGAGATACGTCTATTCATGTCCTTTGCCTGATTTTTTAATCAGGTTGGTTTTGTTGTTGAGTTGTAGTAAAGAGCTTTAAGTAGGACTGTCACAATTTGACTTACTGTTTTGACAGAGCTGAGCCTGAAACTTTGGCAGGAATCAGGGTGAGGGGGAAGCGGCAAGAACTGGGGGCTGCCAGGACAGATGCTGCACACAGTGAGCTCTTCACAAAAGCTGAGCTCACCCAGGCCCTCTTCCTGCTTCGGATCTTGGATGGCCTGAGGAGGAGGACACTGGGGTCACCTCTTTGGATCCTGGCCTTTTAAGGCTCTCAGGGAAGGCTCAGGCAGTCTCCAACAGACCCCTGGGAAATCCAGGGTCCCAGTCCCTCCGTGTGTGGTCCAGACGGAGAATGGTTAATGATCCACGCTATAGGACGCCTGCCTGTTATTTGCAGCAGGGGCTGACCATGGGGGTTGGGCTCTAGAAATCCGCAGGAATTTACACAGGGGTGCTGGGCTGTGTAAAGTGGATCCCCCACTGGCTTTTCTGACTGGCAGATAGTTCAAAGACGTGGGCTGGGGAGCCAGAATGCCTGGGTTCAAATCCTATTTTGCCACATACCAGCTGGGCATGTTACATAACTCTCTTGTGCCTCCATTTACTGCTCTGTAAAATGGGAATAATAAGAGCGCCTCCCTTGTGAAGGATTGGGTGAGGATTACATGAGTTAATGTATGCAAAGCATTAAAATAGTGCCTGTCTCGTAGTAAACGCTATGTAAATGTGGGCTATTGCTGTTATTTTCACTGAGACCAGGCCCTGTTGGGCTTCCCACCGCCCATCAGCGTGCAGGCCTTCCGGACCACGTAGAGGTGCGGTTATCCTTGGGACAGGTCCTCCCTCCTGGGGCGGCTCGCGCGGCAGCGCCTGGGGCCCGTTCCCGCGGTTGCCGGCAGGGGGCAGCATTGCACTGCGGCTGCTCCTGGGCGGCGCCGGCGACTGGGCTTGGAAACCGCGCCTCGCGGCGGCCTGCGCCCTCGCTGCGTCCCTCGCGCTGTCACCTGCGGAATCGGCAGACCAGCCCGTGTAGCCGTCAGCCCAGTAGGGCGGGCACGGGGGCCGGAGACCGCTGTCTCTGTTCAGCCCGGGGTCTCTTGGGGCAGGGCGCCCCACCGCCTCTTCCATGAGGTTCTCCAGCCCTCAAACCCCCGGCGCGCGTGGCTATTTCTCGGCCCCTCGTGGGGCCTGGAGGCCCTTGACCATTCTTGGTCCGTGCACAATCCCCCCATCTGTGAAATGTGGGCAATTGCGCGGTGGCTCAGGGCGCGGCCCAGGTCAGGCACAGAGTGAGGGTCGGGAGATGTTTGGACAACCCCCACCTCGGCTTTCATTAGGTTGCGGACGAGCTGGGCCTGAGCGGGGCATGCGGGCGCGCGCGGCCTCTGGGGAGGGAGTGTGGCGGAGAGGATGCGCGGGCCGTGTGGTCCTGATCTGGGCTTGAGCCCACCCCATGCTTGAACCTGCTCTGGGCCTTTGCTTGTGCTCAGCCTGCTTCCTGGATGGCCCCTCCTTCCTCCTTATTCAACTCCCTCGGGCATCTCAGAGTCCGTAACAGCCTTCCAGGTCTCAGGGCCTGGCATTAGCTTCCCTTCCCTGCCAGTCCCCAAAAACGTCCAGTCCTCGCCTGGGCCTACCCAAGGTCTCCCCTCACCCCCAACCACCAGGCTCTGGGTCCACATTAGGACTTGTGTCTGTCCTGCCCACCATGACCCTTAGCAGGGGATCACGGGGATGGCCCGGCCTCCTGTGAAGGAAGGTCAGCTCCATGATTCCAGATGATTCCAGTCTGGAAATCTCGTGGACTCCAGAAGTCTAGCCTTTGGCTACTCTCCCCAACATTTCCTGGAGAGGCTTGATCACTGGCCCATAGGCCAAGGAGACCCTCCCTTCTATGGTCACAGACCTTCAACAGATGATGGTAGATGCAGGCCGCTACCCTCAGGTGACCCCACAAAGAGCCACACACTGGCAAAAGAACAGTCAGTGTTCCCAGTGGGTAGGAAATGCACCCTAAAACAACTTAGAGATGCAATTTTTCATTTATCAAGAATGAAACAAAGAATAACGCTTAGTGTTGCTGAAGGTGCAGAGAAGCAGACACTTTCATGAATTGCCCATGGAAACGTAGACTGGTTTTAAAAACAGCTTTGGAGGGCAATTTTGGAACTATGTATTAGAGACTTAAATGACGCATAACCTTTGACCCAGCAATTCCACTGCTAGGTATTTATTCTACTAAGGAAATAATTGCATAAAAGCTGAAAATGCATGTGTAAGTATTTTTTACCGAAGCACTGTTTATAATGGTAAAAATTGGGGAGAATATTCAATAGCAAATGAATGATTAAATAATGTATGATAGCTCCATGGAATAGAACTGTAATCAGCCATAAAAAAAAATCACATTTTTGGAAGAGAATTTCATAGCAGAGAGAAATGCTCACATTAAAATGTTCATTCATTCACTAATTAATTGATTTAACATTTATTGAGTATCTTTGAGACATGCCAGGTATTCTTTTAGGCACTGAGAATACAACTGTAAATAAGATAAATACTATCGTCCTCCTTATTGGGCTTTCCTTCTATAGGTGGAGACAGGCAAGAAAGAGGTGAAAAATAATTTCAGGTAGTAATATTTTTGTCTGTTTCTCTTTCAAAATTATACTTGAATAGAAAAAAGGATGGGAAGAAGAGCATCACAATGTCAACGGCGGTTATTTCTGGTTGGTGGTATCAGGTAGGATTTGTGTTAAGTTACGAAAAACTGAGAAATTCACTGCAGAAGCTTATAAAGACCAGGGTCTGATTGGCTCCTGTGTCCTGGGCTGATAAAGCAGCCTCGCTCTGCCCTCCTGGAACGCAGGCTGTGCATGCCCTGCTTGGCTTCTGAAGGTCACAGGACGGCAGGCTTTCCTCCGGGTCTCCTGTCTACCTTCCAGCAGGAAGAAGGGGGAAGGCAGAGGAACAAACTCTTTCTCCTCCGGAGGCTCTGCCTTTTATTTTATGTGAACAGAGCTTCAGCCAAGGTCTCATTGGTCAGAATGGGCCACTTGGGAAGAACATGGAGGCAGTGTCATGGGTTATCATCATTTTCTTCTTCACATTTTCTGGCATTTTCTAAATCAAACAAGACATTAAAACAAGCTTCTGTGTGTAAGAAATAAAGGACTTTTTGTGTTTTAAGAAACAAGGTTGGGGTGGATTGCTATGTGGGAATGGAGGGCAGAGGGCAGGCAGTCGCAGCCAGGCTCAGACACAGCTGCTATGGGTGCGGCGGTCCTGGAGGTCTCTCTCACTAATTTCCATCCGCCTGGGTCCTGTAGGCCCTTGCAGGCTGGCGCAGTCCTCAGAGGACACGGTGGAGTGCAGGACCATGGCTGTCCCTGGGAGGGCCTTACCTGTCTGCTGGCTGCCTTGCTGGCTGCCCTAACTCTCTCTGTTTGCTGGTGTCCAGGAGGGCTGTGTGGCTGCTGGGGTGAGCGTGTGCAGCCTGGGCTCATGCTGGGCTGGCTGGACTCACTGGCCCTGGGGCCTTTCTCCCAAAAGGAGCTGGGATTTGTTCCGATGTGCAGGGCTGGTGGGCCATGTCAGGCTAATCTCAGTCTGCGTCCTGGCCTCTTCATTGTGTTCATTTCCTGTGGCTGCTGTATGAAATTTCAGCTTCTGGTGGCTGCCCGCGTTCCTTGGCAGGGGGCCGCACCCCTCCCATCCCTGCCTCTGTGATCACATGGTCTTCTCTGTGTCGTCCTTCTCTGAGTCGTTCTTAGATGGACATTCATGATGGCATTTAGGGCCCACTTGGACAATCCAGGACCATCTCCTCATCTGCAGATGTTTGACTTAATCAAATCTGCAAATCCTCTCTCCAAATAAGGTCTCATCTACAGTTTCTGGGGATTAGCATGTGGACATCTGTTGGGGGCTATTTTTCATTAACTGTTCAGTGACTACTGCTCTGAGACTTGATGATCTCATCTGTAGAGTGGGGATAAAAGTCCCATTCTCACAAAGTCTTGAGTCAATCACCAACAGGCCGTGAGCAGGCACTCGGCAGGCAACAGTGAATGTTCCTCAGTGGTTGAGCCCTGCCCCTCCCCTCTGACCGCTGAGGCTGCTTCTCCCTCCCTTTCCCTTGGTGGTTGATCTGCCCTGGTCTTGGAGACAGTGAGAGGACCTGGGTGGCAGGCCTGCCGATGGCCTCTGATCCGCAGGCCCTTTTTCCCCATTTCCACCTCCTTCTCCTTCCACTGCCTGTCCCCACAGTGAGGCATGTGTGCTGCCGTGGGGCACAGGCCTTGTGCTTGGCAAGGGTTAAGCATATGCAGGTTCCCCTCCTTCCCTGAGAGCCTCCCCGGGGGCTTCTGCCTCCTCCCACTCCCTCTTCTGTTCTCTCATATCAAAGCTCCCACCAGGCTCGGTGGCTCAGGCCTGTAATCCCAGCACTTTGGGAGGCTGAGGGAGTCGGATCACTTGAGGTCAGGAGTTTGAGACCAGCCTGGCCAACCTAGTGAAACCCCTTTTCTACTAAAAATACAAAAATTAGCCAGGCGTGGTGACACGCACCTGCAATCCCAGCTACTTGGGAGGCTGAGGCAGGAGAATCACTTGAACATGGGAGGTGCAGGTTGCAGTGAACTGCGATCATGCCACTGCACTCCAGCCTGGGCAACAGAGCAAGACCGTCTCAAAAAAAAAAAAAAAAAAACAAAAAAAAAACGAAGCCCAAAAACAAAAGACATCTCTGGGTCCCTCTCTATTTTCCAGACAGATCTCTGGCAAGTCAGGGACTTTGCCCAAGGTTGCCTAGCACATTGGCAGTGGATTCAGGGCCTTTGCCATGTCCCTGCCTCATCTGAAGGAGTGCCAGGCAGCCCTTGCTCCAAGCCAAGTCTCCAGGAGCCTCCTGGGAGGTAGTACCTCCCCCATTTAGGTTTATAGGGTGCTAAATGCACTATGGTGCACCAGATAGGAAAAATCAATCACAATTTCACTTCATTGCCGGATGGAAGAGGAGGTTTACAGACCAGATAACCTGCTCTTGGAAATGGGTGTGTCCATATATAGGGTGCCCAGATCCATTAGGGGCTGCGTTTAGCTGGAGGGCTGGGTCTGGGGAAGGGGCTTTCTGTTGGATGAGCAAGGGCTTCAGGTGGATGCAGCTCCCCCATCCCTGATCCCTTGGGAGAGTCGGGGACTCGGCTCTGAAAGGCTGTGGGCTGGTGGGAGCCCCTGTGCTGCTCCCAACTTAGGATGGGATGAGGAGGGGTGTGGTGGGGTGGACCTGTCACATCCATTGAACAAAATGTCTGTGCAGCTCCTGGCCTGCTGTGCAGGCTGACATTTAGGTATCTCATCTTAAACAAGGAGCAGGGGGCGACTGGTGAGCAACAAGGCCCCACTCTATGTGTGGACACCTGCAGCCTCATTCCTGGGAGGGCAGAGGACATATGACTGGCATAAAGTATTGTGTGTAGAACCAGGGTGGGACAGTCTCCGATGAGTTCCCTGGTAGCAAAGGGGACAAAGTCCTCTCGCTCCACTATTTAAGTTCCTTTTTGTGGATTGGTGGCTCTCTTGCCCAGGATGTCCACTGAAGACACGATGGTTGACAGGTCTCTGGCTGCTATGATGCCACCCCAGGCCCACTCTGTAGAGATGTGTTTGGGAAGGAGCATGTCTGGCTTTAGCATCTCCCACCAGGACCATTCTGTCAACTTCTACCCTGGTCCCTCTGCTGCCTCCTTCTTCCCACCTTGCTGCTCTCCCCACAGCCTTCCCTTACTTGCTTCCGCCTCCATACCTTTCCTCTCGCTGTTCCCTTCACCTGCAATGTACACTCCCTTCCTTAACTCAGCTCAAGGTCTCAGCTAAACCTGTGTGGAGCCCTGGAACCCAAAGCAGGAGACGACAGGGGCAGGAGGAGCCCTGGGCAGTGGTGGGAGGGGCAGGAGCCTCTGTGGCACTTCATGTTCTGGGACAGTCAGGCAGTGACTGTTGAGGGTACAGGAGCCTGAGTTCAGCCCTGGGGTCAGAGAGGCCAGGATTCAGGACCCTGCCACTTAGTCCTTCCAGTCACCTGCGGAATAGGGTGGTCCCCAAAGTGCAAAAACAGCAAAGTTGCAGAGCCCAGGTTGGAGAGAGAGGAGAAGAGCCACCCCAGGCAGGCGTTGGGGCTGGGAAGCAGGGAGCCCAGCAGGTCTCCTGGGAGGGCCTGGGCCAGCCTGTGGGCTCTGGGACAGGCTTTTCAGGGCTGTGGTTTTACATGTGTGAGCTGCAGCAGCAGAAGCCCATTCTCCACACAACGGTGGACTCAGAACGCCCATGTGCAAGGCTGGCTATGGACGTGGAGTGGGGTCCTCAGAAGCCCCGAGCTTCCTCTGAAGAGCCTCTTAGATCCAGGCTTTGGGGCACACACTTGGAGAATCTCTGCTTTAGCAGGAGGTGAGACACAGGCTGCCCCCAGAGGCCTGGGACTGAGATGACAGCTCCTGGGGGTCATTCCTGGGATCTGAGCCTTCCTTCTCCTTTGCTCTCCCTTGGCGTTTGGAGATGCCTTTGTGCACACTCCAGCTTGCCTTATCTGACCTTTGCAGGGTTCTAAGGAAGGAATGAACCTTGTTGGACTCCAGGGGGTCAAGGGGAATCCTGGATGTTAGCATGAGAGCCCCAGATGAGCCTGAGCTTCTGTTCAGTCCTGCCACCCATCCTGCCTGGAGAGCCTGGGTCCAGGAAAGAGACCTCTGGAGGTCCTTGCTTTTGCAAAGGAAGCAGTTTTTCACACAGGTAACTTTTTGGACTAGTTGATTCTAAGCAGACTGAAGACCCAGTCCTGAGTCCCAGTTTCCTGACTGTATAATGGGGGTAAAGAGGTCCTTGCCCTGGAAAGATGAGGCATTCCTATCTAGGGTGGACACACGGTGTGTAATTTCCTTTCTCCTCATTGGCCCATGGGGCACGGCTCCGGCCCGCAGAAGCCCTCCCTCACCTGGGCTGCCCACCATGGGTGTCTGCACCATGCCACGGGAAGGGTGCAAAGGGGCATAACAGTGGGTCTTGCCCTGGTGGCTGAGGCAAGCTGGTGCTGGAATTTTCCTTCTCCCTAACCTCGGGAAAACCAAGGAATGAATCAATAGAAGTCTCGAATTAATAGAATGAGCAATGCAAAAGATTGCTGGCCTGGGAAATTTAAAGTAACAACCCACGAGGCTACCAAGAGTAAAAGTAAACTAAAAAATACAGTAATATAAAAGAACATCACATAAAATAAATACAAGCTGAGAAACAGTAAAAATAAGATGAAAGAGGTTGGCAAGAAAGGGTAGTAAGGAAGACAAAGTAGAGACAGAGAATTCACATTCAACTGAAGAGCCAACACAGCGCTGGGAGAACAGACGAAATAAGCAATAAACAAGGGTGTTTTAAAAAAAAACCAAAAAACAAATCTGGCGTGGTGGCTCACACCTGTAATCTCAGCACTTTGGGAGGCGAGGCAGGAGGATTGCTTGAGTCCAGGAGTTCAAGACAGCCTGGGAAACATGGTGAAACCCCATCTCTACAAAAAATGAAGAAAATTATCTGGGCATGGTACCATGTGCCTGTGGTCTCAGCTACTCAGGAGGCTGAGGTGGGAGGATTGCTTGAGCCCAGGAGGTCTAGGCTACAGTGAGCCATGATCACATCAGTGTCCTCCGGCTTGGGTGACAGAACAAGACCCTGTCTCCAAGAAAAAATTGAAAACAGGAAAAACCCAATGGGTTAAGAGAGGAAGGCAGCAGTGAGATTTTCTGAGCTTGGATCTTGGCAGAAAGTGGGTTCCCTGGAGCCTGTAGTGACGGATGAGGCTGGCAGCAAGACCCCTTCCCAGATGCCTACAGACTCTTCCCTGGGGGCTTGACCTTAAGACCTGGGTTGGCCTCCACCCTGTGTACACGGGACAGCTGGGTTCCATGCCAAAGCCTGCAGAGAATTCCCCAGGCTTGGACTTGATCTTTCTTTGCAGGCAGGGCCTGGGCCGAATTGTCTTCCATATCACTGGTGGGCTCTGTGCTGAGGAGGGAATGAGGAAGATAGAGTTTTTGGGCCCTCCCTGGAGACGCATGGTTCAGGAGGGGCACTTCTGCAGGGGTTGGGCACTGGTGGTTCCACATCAGGCAGGCAGCTCCTCAGGATTGTGCCCAGGAGGCAGGTCACTTGGAGGGCCAGGACTCCAGCTGGCTTTTCCTTAGTCCAGCTTTTGGATGGGGTGAGAAAGAAGGCAATGGAGAAAGGAAAGGTCTGCATTTCTGGAATGACAAAGCTTTAAGTCACAATGATTGTAGCTTCCAAGTAGACCACTGAGGCCTCTCTCTGCCTTGACATTTCATCTACAGCTTCTGTGGCCAACTACTAGCGTCCAGTGTTGTTTCAGTTGAGATTCCTGATGAGCCCAGTTTTATCTTTTTGCACCCTCCTTCAATTTCCTTGTGTGTAAAATGGGATGACCATCTCCTCGGTAAGATGTCAGGTGGTGAGCACAGTGCCTGCATGTGGTAAGTGCTAAAGAAAAGTAATTAGAATCAGTAAAACTGAAGAACTCTTTAGAAAAAGCAGTCACCTGTGCTGGCTGAGCTTGTGTAAAAGAAAGATTTACTGACTCAGTTTTAATTTCTGTGAATACACCTTTGTGTAGTGAGGAGCAAACCAAGAGGACTGAGCCTTGGGCCTGCCAGCAACTCACCTGATGCCTTTCTCTGGGCCTCAGTTTTTCTCTCTCTGAAGTGGATGTGTGTCATATGACCCAGAGATTTCTAATCTATCTTCTCCAGCTAGATTCTTGCATTAGGGGTGAACTTGTTCATTGGGTAGAGTTGCTTCCCCTGGTTTGGAGAGGCAGCATTTGCAGCCCCAGAGGCTATCAGGGATAAGGGTGTTGGGCCAAGAATAGCTGGGCCAGGAGCAATAAACTGTTAAGGGCTTGATGAGTCTGAGCAACTGACCAATAACATCCAATGCCCCTGGAACCTGGCAACTCCAACTTTAGGTGGCAGAGGATTAAACACATTTTGCCTCAAGGTGAGTCTGTACAGGTCCCCAGTGGTCTCTGGGCCTGCCTTCCAGCTCTGTGAGGAACAGGAGCTGAGCAAGTGCCTACAGTCACCACGCTGCCTACAGTGTCCAGGGGATTCTAGCCTGGATAGGAAAACTGGCTTGGCTGAGTGGACTGTCCCAGGGTGAGGATCTGGGAATGAGCATATGGGGATGGCAGACTACCACACGCCCTGGAAGCTGGAGAGGAAGGAGGCACCCAGGACAGAAGGTGAGGTTGCCCCAGGTCAACAACTTCCAGATGAGATCCACCTTGAGTCATGATCCTCAGATGCCAAGCCACAGGAACCTCATCACCCACCTCATCATCCAAACTGGAACTTGATGGAAATCATTCCACAACTATGTGTTGGTGGGTTGTCTTCTTAATACTTGGAAGGAGGTCTTAATACTTATCCCACTGAAATCATGCTACCTACACCTAGCAAAACATACATCAAAGAAAAACTTCTAACTGGGTATATCACATGCCCACTGTACTAACACACTGGAGAACCCCCAACAACAGGAGGCCCGGGGAGAGTCCCTGACCCACAGGGACTTCAGGTCAAGACCACACCCACCATCCTTTCAAGGTGGAGACAGTCCCCGTAGGAACCAAACTGATGTATAATAAAACTCATCATTTATTTCTCTTCTCCCTACAGCATTTCAGCCAGTGAATGGTAGAATTTTGCAGGAATAAGAATTAGAGGTGTAGAGGGTTTTGAGATGCGGGGTGGGTCAGGTTTCACTACTCAAGGACCCTAAGACAGGTTTTTGGAAGAAGTGTGTGTGTGTGTGTGTGTGTGTGTGTGTGTGTGTGTAGGACCACATTCAGCCACTCCCATGGGCAAGTATGACATATGACCACTCCTCTCTTCTTGCCCCCTGGCCTCCTTAACCTAGAAGTCACCTTGCTGGCTCATGGGATTCCTTGATACTTCTGCAATCCAGCTTCTCCGCTCCAACAGGCTGTCCCTGCCCAGCTGAGCTGGCCCACCCAGGGTTCCCTCACAGTGCTATGGGCCTCCACTGGCCCCCTCTGCACAGCCCATCCTCTCCAATCTTTCTTTCCAAAGTGAAATCTACCAATGCTTACTCTTTGGCTCTGGCCACATGAGAGACAGACAGACATACAGACACACACTTCTTTCTTTTTGCCTTGGCTCACCACTATTCAATGCCTGGAAGCCTTATTTTCTCCCTTGGGAACCTCCACTCAGTCTTTACAACTGTCATCTCCTCCAGGAAGTCATCCCTGCTCTTCTTCCCAGGCTGGTTCAGAGCCCAGGCATCTGAGCATACACAGCTCATTCATAGCCCCCCCCAACATTTAAAAGATGACTTGGTTGGGTGTCTGCCTCGCCCACTGCGCTGGGAGCTCTGGGCAAGGGCTGTGGTGGGAGCCTCTCCCCCTGGTGCGTGGCGGGAGTCCTGGGGCCCCTCCGCGGACAACAGGGCCCGGGGACGTTCCCAGGCTTGCTGGAGGAGCAGCTTTTGAACGAGGCTCTGCCAGGTCCCAGACCCCAGGAAGCTCAGCTGTCTCCTCGAAATCTTGGGGGTGCCACATGGAGCCCAGTCCCTTTCAGGCACGAGCCCACAACAGCTTAACGCTCTCTTTGGTGGTGGCCGGCCCGAGGCAGGCACCGGAGGCGGAGGGAGCCCTGTTCCGCTGTGGCCGCGAGGAGCGGGCTCTTCGCCCGGGCTCGCACATGAAAGCTCCGTGCAGGGTCGGAGTCTGAGCCCGCCGGCCGCTTGGAAGGCTCCTCACGTCCAGGCGCCGCGGTCACGGCTGCGCTGGTTTCCGGCCATGAATTGGGCTTCAGAGTCCGAGCCTCTTGCCCGACTCCCGGCTGAGCGCGCTGCCCATGGAGCGGGGGATGGGCGCCCGCCGAGGTCCGCGCGGCCAGCCAGGGTTCGAGCCCACGGCCCGGGCTCTACTCTGAGATGCTTGCGGCGGCCGGCCCCCTCTGGCTCCCCAGCTGTCCTGGGGCCTGGCCCGGCGCCCCGCCCCGGTCTCTCTTCTTGCTCCCCAGGTCCCACTCCACGAGGAACGGTCTGTTTCGGCCGGGGACATGACCCGAGACGCGCGGCTGCTGAGGTCGCCAGGGCGCTTCGGGAGCCCCTCGAGGGCAGTTAGCGGCCGGCCCTCCTCCATTCTCCCGCCCCTGGCGAACCGGAGAAGGAGGCCCGAACCGTCAGAGCTCGGCGCGCCGCAGCCCAGGCCGGTCCCCGCCGCTGTGCCGGTCTCCGAGCGTCCCCCGAGCCGGGAGCGTGGAGCACCCGGCGCCCCCTCCGAGCCGCGAGCGGGCGAGAGCCGCGCGGCGAGGCTGAGGCTCCGCAGTCACGTGGTAGAGAGGCGGGCGGAGGGGAGGGAGGCGGGCAGGGAGGGGAGGGGGAGCGGAGCTGAGGGGGAGGGGGAGGGGAGGGGGCGTCCTCCGCAGTTCGCTCCTCGCCGGGGCTCAGACACACAGCCAGCCCAGAGCCGCCACGCCGGCCCGGCCGCCGCCGCCACCGCCTCAGCCTCCCCCGAAGCCGCTCTAGCCGCGGGAAGCGCCGCTGCCACAGCCGCGGGCCGCCCCCGCCGCGCCGGCCTGGGCTCAAGCTGCCAGCACCGCCGCAGCCGCCACCGGAGCCGGAGCGGGAGCCCGACCGCGCTGGGCTGGGCTGGGCTGGGCTGGGGCGGGCGCAGGGCGCAGGGGCGGGCGCGCGGGGGAAGACGCACGGGCGGGCTCGGCTCTCCCGGGGAGCGGCCCGGGACTGCACCGGGACCAGCGCCTCCCCGCTTCGCGCTGCCCTCGGCCTCGCCCCGGGCCCGGGTGGATGAGCCGCGCGCCCGGGGGACATGGAAGCGCTGACGCTGTGGCTTCTCCCCTGGATATGCCAGTGCGTGTCGGTGCGGGCCGACTCCATCATCCACATCGGTAAGCGCGGCTGGAGGCCGGGCCGAGGCTGGGCGGGGGCCCCAACGGGGCAGGGGGTGCGCGGCGTCCAAACTTGGCGTTTCCCTGGGCCGAGGGGCTCGGCGGGCGGTGCTCCCCCGAAGGGCCGCGCCGCGCCGCCCGGCGGAGGAGCTGTGCACCGGCCGCGCCGCGCTCCCGCTGGCTGCTTGCCGCTCCCCGGGGCTCCGATCTCCGCGCGGGGCCCCGCGGCCTCTACCGACACTTAGGGCCGACGCTTCGGGGAACACCGGGATGGACGCGCGTCGAGACCCGCGCCCTTAGCGGGGCCGTCGGCGGGTCGGGAGGGCCCTTCTGCGCAGCTCAGAGCAGCGGGGGGCAGGGGGAGGTACAGCGGGGGGCTCGCCAAGTTGGCAGGGCAAGATCAAAGAGGCCGGACCGGAACCGTGTGTGAATGTGTGTGGGTGCGTGTTGTCAGCGTGTGTCGCTGTGTGCGCCTGGCACGGTGTCGGTGTTACTGTGAGAGGGTGTTGGGGTGTGTGGGGCCATCTGAGCGTGTGTTGGTGCGTGCACGACTGTCTGTCAGCCTGTTAGAGTGGACACAGTGTCTGCCTGCTTCTCCGGTGTGTGTCTGTGTAGCCCTTGGTGTATGTGTGAGTGCGTGTGTATCTGGTTGTGGCGACTGCATCCCCATCCTGGACAGTCCTAGAGTTTTGCGTGGTCCAAGTCTTGGGGGCCCAGACGGTCTGGGTGGTGGGAGCCGAGGGAAGAAGCGTGGGCAGCGGGGGGTAGGGGGATGCTGAGCGGGAAGAGATGGATAGAGAGAGAGAACCGGGAGAGAAGATGAAAGCGCAGAGGAGGAGGGGGCGCGCCGAGGGGGAGTGGGCGCGCCGAGGGGGAGTGGGTGGGAGTTGGGAGCAACACGGGAGGAATCTCGGGAAGTTGGGCCGAGTTGGGGGGCTGACAGCGGTCGCTTTGGGGGAGTCCCTCCGCAGTCGTCTTTCCGGAAGTTGGGAAAGACCAGCGAGCACAGGGAAACTGGGGGTTGGGAGGTGTTGAAGGCGAGGAGGACGGGACAAGGCGGGAGGGTGGGTGGTGGAGTGGGGTGGTGAGGACTAGGCCTGGGCTCGGAGAGCTACGATTCCTCCTCAGGGGCCCGTGACCAAACCTGCTTCCCGCCCTGGAGGGGTGCGGGTCTCGCGGTCAGCATTGCGGCGCCGGCTCCGGGTGTAGTGAGGAATCCGGGCCTCCCTCCTCCTACCCAGCCCCCAGCTCGAGGGATCACTGGGCCTAGCTCCGGGACCTCAGGGACCCTCGAGGCTTGGTGAGGCGGGATGTGGGTGGCTGACTCCAGAGCTGTCCAGGTTGCAGGACTAGGCTCGGGCTGGTCGCACTGATCTCGGCTGGAAGCGCAGGGTCCGTGGAAGCTGTGCTAGGCGCACAAAGCGCCAGCCGGAGGGCGCCCTGGAGGAGCTGTCCGCGGTTCTAGAAAGCCCTTCAAGAGCAGCTCCTTCTGGGACCCCCAGCTCCGCTAGATCTGAACGTGGAGGCGCCTAGGACACAAGTCCCCTTCCCCCACTCCCCTCGACAGACGTACAGGAAATGGGAGTGGGGAAGGATGGAGAGTAGGAGGCTGAGCTCAGGGCGCCAGGCCGGGCAGCGTCACAGTCATCCAAGCTGCAGGCCATCCGAAGCCCCTGCCTAAGGAAGACCCCTCTGCGCAGGAAAGCCAACTGTAGACCTGCTTCGCTCAGCTCCACTCAGCAGGGGACGTGCATGGAGAAGGACCCATCATTCTGTCCTGGGATTTGGGTGGGGGACACCACCCTCCCGGGGAACTTCCTGGCTCCTGGGATGGGATTTATGGAACCATGTCAAGGCATTTGGGCGCTGCCTGGGGCCACCCCAGCTTGGCTTAGTCCCTTGTGTGGAGCATGGCTAGGACATGTGGTGCCTTGGTTGTGAGACACGTGTGTGACCTGGTGGCAGCCTGTGGGATGTGCATGTGTAACTCATGTCAACTGTGTGCACGTGTGCGCTGAGGGCTGGTGGGGGGAGGGGAACATATTCCTGTGCAGGTGGAGATCGGAGAGCCTTAATCTACCCCGCCAAGCTGAAATCCCAGTTCAGACTTCCCACCACCCGGCAATCATCGGTCTGCGAGTGCCTTGACCCTCGGGCCAAGGGAAGCGGGGAGAGGGTTCTTGTCCAGGTCCGGTCTTGATCCCTTCTCTCCTCCAGGTGCCATCTTCGAGGAGAACGCGGCCAAGGACGACAGGGTGTTCCAGTTGGCGGTATCCGACCTGAGCCTCAACGATGACATCCTGCAGAGCGAGAAGATCACCTACTCCATCAAGGTCATCGAGGCCAACAACCCATTCCAGGCTGTGCAGGAAGGTGAGTGACCGCTGTGCCCAGGGCCCACTGGGACACGGCCTGCGAGGCGTCGCAGCAGTGGGCACCGGAGGGGTTGGGACGAGCTGGGCTGCGCAGGGCACCCTCTGTTCCTCGGCAGCCGCGGTGCCATGCGCGGTGGCGCGCCTTCCCCGGCCCACCTAGGCAGCGGCGCCGGGACTGCTCTGCGCTGCGGGCCGGCACGGAGAGCCTGCGAGCGCGGGGAGCTGGTGTTCTTGCGGGTTGCGTGGCGCCCTTCGGGCTGTGTGGGCGCGGGTGTGCGCCCAGCGCTGGCCGCGCAGGCGTGCGTGGCTCGGGGCAGTCTTTGTTTCTCGGTGTTTGGGGGTGGGCGTGTCTGCGTGCCGGGTACCTGTATCGGGCGCACCTCCCCTGATCTCAGTGGCCCGGTGTTTTCCTCGCTTCGAGGTGAGGAGCGCCCAGCGGCTGGAGCCCGACCTGTCTCCTTCTCCCGGGCATAACCTGGTAGGCGCGGCGTTTCGCGCCCCGCGGCCCCCAGAGCCTCAGCCCGGCGCTTCTCTGCAGCGCTCCTCCACCAGGTTTGGAGGAGCCGGTTTCTCTCTCGCTGTCCGCGCCGCGGGCGGAGGCGCCGCCGCCTGGGCCGGAGGTGGGCGCTGTTCGCCCAGGAAAGGAGCGGAGCTGGGCCGGTCCGGCTGCGGGGAAATCCTGGCCTACGCCGGGGCCGCCCTTGTCCACAGCCACTGCCTCCGGTCGGGCCCCGCGGCAGGCGCCACAGGTGCGAGGCGAGGGCGTTCACGACAGCAACCCCCTCTGCTTTCCCTCCTCTCTGCTAGTCCCTCCCCTTCAACCTTTCAGCTCGGGAACCCTGGTTCCTTCTCCAAGCCTCCAGATTCCTGGTTAAGGCCTAAGGCTCCGCCTCTGACACTTACCCGGCTTAAGTCCCTTCTCCTTCCCTCTGCCTTGCTCCCCGCAACCATGGGGACTCTGGGGCCAGCGCCCCTCAGTGCTGGGGCAAGTTAGTGGCGCAGGATGCAGGGATTCCTTGCTGGAGGAACTGGTAGAGAAGTGTAGAGGGGGCAGTGGGTGTAGTGGGAGGTGGGCTGGCTAAGAGCTCCTGGCTGGTGTTTTCTCCTCAAGCCCGTTGAGCCGAGAGTCCTCCTGCTGCTTTGGTACACATGGGTTGCTAGTCTCCCCGGTGCCTGCAAGGACAGGATGCCTCGATGATGGCTCTGGCCTGGGTCTGGGGGGTCAGAGCTGGTGTTGGGGAGGTCGTTGTGTTGGAAGGAGGAATTCTGGGGGTCTCCTATTCTTGGGTGCAGCAGAGGAAGGAAAGGGGCCAGCTCTGGGGGCAGGGACCGGGGACTACTTCTGGGGACTGAAGGTCCAAGGATTTCTTGAGGTGGTTTTACAAACCGGGAGTCCCAAGTGTTTTCTTTTAGGGGGGGTGAGGCTAACACTGCCTATTATGGGAGCTGCTGCTTCCAGCTGTGACAGATGTCCATTGTCAGATGTCTGTTGAGGTACAGGGAAGAGGAATTCCTGCCCTTCTTTGGTGTCTGGTCGTGTCCCACCAGCAGTCTCTATCTCCAGACACCCCCTGCCTCTGGACTTCTTTTCAGTGTGCCCTTATCACAGCTCCTTGCAGGTGCTTGGGGTGGGCTCCAGCCAGGGGAGGGCAGGGCCTTCTTAGCGGAAGGAACCCTAAATGGGGTGGGGACCTGGGGTGACAAGCTACAACTTTCACAGTGCCACCTGTTCCCTTGACACTGGTTCCACAAACCCCATCTCTGTTGACATTCATTCTTTGTGCTTGGGAGCTGAAGCCACAGTTTGGAAGCACATATTTCCTGGACCCAGGAGCTCACAGTGTGGTGGGGACCCTGCCTGTGTTCCATGTCTGGTGACACACCTCTGTTGGCTCCCCTCTGCAGTGTTGAGTATCCAAGCTCATTCATTTTGCCTCTGAATGATGCCCGTCCGCTCCCATCAGCAGTTCCCCAGGGACTAAACATGATGCTCTTGCACAAGGTTGCCACCTCATGCAGGTAACACACAAGGATGAACCGGGCAGCTGGTTCCTGTGGCACCTGGAGTACAGGGTCTGAAGAGGTCATCTCCATTAAAAGGAGAAGCTGTCACACAGCTTTAACAGATTTTGCCATTGGGCGTGAAAATCCTACTGTTGTAGATGTGCTGATTTATTTTTTTAAGAGGAGCCCCAAATCTGGACCTTAATGTAAATTTTGATTTAAAGCTATTGCCAACTAATAAAATAATGTAAACAACACAGTACAAGCCAAACAAAACATAGCTATGGGTGATTCAACCTGTAAGCGCCCCAAAGCAACTTTGTCCTGGGGACAAAGGTTCCACCCAGGGGCCTTTTCTGGGTCTTGGTTTCTCTGTTTGTATAGCTGGAAAAATGTGTCAGGCTCCAAGGATGGCAGACTGACACAGTCTCTGTGGGGTGTGAGAGTGAGTGTTTCTGCATGTCTGGAACTAGGGAGTTAGATTCTTGGTTGACAGTTGTCTAGGGAGAGAGACACTGGCCAGGTATTGTTGGTGGGCTGCCTGCTGCCCAGAGAGTTTGTGCTGGTGAAAGCTGGCATGTACTTTCATTTTATGAGTCTGGTGGACTGAAATCCATTGTTATCTTGTGACCTTGCATAGCCCTTGGATGCCTACAAGGGATGGGAGGAGCCTGCCCTGGAAGGCCTCTGTGAGGGGCAGAGCAGTGCTCAGCAGCCTCCTTTTCCCTTGCCTGGGGCTCTGCTGCAGGTGCTCAGCTCTCTGGATGTCCTTCCTTGGATGTACTCTGTGGGGTGCTTTTCCATCACTGGGCTTGATCCCTGCTTGATGAATGCCTTATATCTCACTGCTGGGCCTGGACATCCATTGCAGCAGGACATGGGTTGTCGATACAGGTTGAGTAGGAAAGAAAAAGACTTTTAGTAGCGGAGTGGTCAGGGATGGAGAGCAAAGGCAGATGGGGGCTTGATCTCCATCATTGACTGGACAAGCCCACAGTGACCTCTCAGTGGAGTGGTGCTGTCGCTGTTTTGGTCTGAGAGGCAGTGCCATGCAGTGATAAGAGCCTGGTGGAGCTTAAAGAGTTTCAGTTCCCATCTTGCTTGTCTTCACTCGTGGTGTGACCCTGGAGCTCTGCTCTGAGCTTCTGTTTCCAGATCTGTTCAAAGGGAATAATCATAGGATTTGCCTCATGGGATTGTGAGGATTAAATGAGATGAGACATGTGTAAATCATCTACATAAGGCCTGCGGTGGGTGTTCTGTAAACAGTAATTCCCTTTCCGTTCCTTGACCCAACTGTGAATCCATCTCAGCTTCTCTTGAGGCCGTTGATATTTTCAGCTACATTATTTTTTTAAGCTAGTGAATTCCTTGAGAGAGGACCTAAACTGACCTTTTCATTTTTAGCTCTTACTTTTTTCCCTGATTATAAAAGAAATGCATTGCTGCAATGAGCATGTATTAATATAAAAATATAAAAAAGAAAAAGGGCAATGTGTGCTTATTATATAAAATGTGGAAGGTACAGGAAAGTGTCAAGAGGCAGAACAAAATCACTCTGAATTGCACTAGTGTTATTTCCTTCCAGTCTTCCCCCCACCACTGTATTTTATACATTTTGAGAGCTCCCATTCTGTTCAGTTTTATATCCTGTTATTTTTTCCTATTTAACATCATTGGCCTTTTCTGAAATCACTATGAACTATTTGTAAACATTACTTCTAGTAACTGCATACATTTCTCAATATTCAAAACTTTTTTTTTTATAAAAGGGAACTATTTATGCTGAGATATGCAGAATCAAGTATTCCTGAACAAAACAAGAAACTCGGCCTGGATATGTTGGTCCTAAGATTTATACTTACAATTTCTTCAGGATGACTTTTAACAAGCTCCTTACAAGCACTGCCTTTTAGGACATTTGGTCAATGTATGGAAAACAATGGATCACACAATAAAATATCCATTTGATAAGGATTGAAAGTTAGCAAATAACACAGAAAGGACATTTAAATCTCTAAAATGTTGCATCTTAGATTTAGCTGGCAAAGTCCATATTAACAAATAGTGTGAAAATTTGTCTTCTAGGTACTAAAAGAGATCCTAATTTGTTAAATAAAAAAATTTCAGATTGTTGTAAAGTGCTTGCTCAAGTAGGAGTTTATATAAATGCATATAATTTATATAAAAGAACTGGCTGAGCACGAGTCTTCTCATTTCCCAGCATTACTTTTTACTGTGAGTAAAAGACGAGAGTTATTAGATATGCTGTAGATATACCTGTCGCAGTGTGGAAGGATAACAGTTTAGGAAAGAGGCAGAAAAAAGGAATGCATGCAAGTGAGGCAATATTCCTTTTAGTTATCATAAGCACAAAAGGATTCTAGGAAGACATAAAAATTACCAAGAATAGCTTGTGGTTCACAGAATGAAACAATGAAATAAAATAAAAATGAAACACAGAGAGCTTGTTGGTGCCCATCTGGAGGCCTTGCTCAGTTTATATCCGTTACCTCCTAGGTGGTCACCCTGCCCCTCACTGGCCACACTGGTATCTAGACATTCTGCTAGAGGCTCCCCATCCCTAGCTCTGATGGCTTCCGGCATCTTCGTTGGCTCCATTCAGAATTATAGAGAATTGTAGGTCCCATCGAGGCCACGCTCTTGCAGTCCTCCTGGCAGCCTCACCAGACACCATCAGAGGCTCTCTGAGTGTGATGTCCGTGTCTTCCTAAAGATGCCTGTAGACCCCTTATTCCCATCCTCTCAGCTGTGTTAGTTTTCTTGTGGTGCGGAAACAAATTTTACCCCAAATTTAGTTGGTTAGATCAACACACATTTATTCTCTTGCAGTTCTGCAGGTCAGAAGCCTAACATGGGTCTCACTGGGCTAAAATCTGGGTCCTTCTGGAGGCTGGAGGAAAGATTTGTTTCCTGGCCTTCTCCAGCTTCCAAAGACTGCTGGATTCCTCAGCCCCTGGCCCTTTCCTCCATTTTCAAGGCCAGCAATGGCGGGTCAAGGCCTTCTCACATCCTCTCATGCTGACCTGGCTTCTGTCATCACATCTCCTTCTCTGACTCTTCTGCTTGGCTCCCTCTTTCAAGGACCTTTGTGGTTATATTGGGCCCATCTGGATAATCCCAGATAATCTCCCTATTATTTATTTATTCTTTTTTGAGACAGAGTCTCTCTCTGTCACCCAGGTTGGAGTGCAGTGGTATGATCTTGGCTCACTGCAAGCTCTGCCTCCCGGATTCACACTATTCTCCCGCCTCAGCCTCCCGAGTAGCTGGGACTACAGGCGCCCGCCACCATGCCCGGCTAATTTTTTGTATTTTTAGTAGAGACGGGATTTCACTGTGTTAGCCAGGATGGTCTCAATCTCCTGACCTCGTGATCCGCCTGCCTTTGCCTCCCAAAGTGCTGGGATTACAGATGTGAGCCACCGTGCCCGGCCCTCCCTATTTTAAGGATAGCTGGTTTGCAAGCTTAATGCTGTCTGCTACCTGTGCCATGTAGCCTAACATATTCACAGATCTGGGGATTAGGATGTAGACATCTTTGAGGGCCATTATTCTCCTACCATGTTGGCACACCTGTCTGTGCCCAATATGCATTGTCCACCTCCACTTTCCTTCCACCCTGATAATCTTTTGCATGCTTGACTGCACTCTTGCTTACTGCGGGGCATCCTCTTTTGTTCGCTGGGCCTGCTATAGTCACTTGGGATGGATGGCTATGTTTCCTTTCTGTTTCTACAAAGCTCACCCTGGAAGCATCACACTGTAAGCCTGTGGAGCCTCCACAGACTTGCCTGTGTTCTCCAATGACATGTCAGCTTCTTTTCCTGGGCTTGGCTGCTGCTTGTGCATAAGGAAGTTCCTGGAGGAAACTGCTGTTCGAATAGTCAGACTGTAAGTTGGTGCTGCCGCTTGGACCCAGGGCCTCTTTTCTGCCTGAGCAGGTTGTTCTTCAGAACCTCACCGTCTAGGCCCATGCCTACCTACACCCCAAGGGACGGCCCTCGTTGAAGTCAATCTTGCTTTGCCGCCCGGGGTCCCACAGAGAGCTGCTGTTCCTGGTCCCCTCAAGGGCTACTGCCAGTGATAACAGCTGTGGATGAGGCTGCAGGCATTGATAGTCTGGAGTTAGGCCCTGGGTCCCCTCTCTGGATTCCCCACAAGCCCGTGCTGAACTCACGGTGTCAGGGTGCTGAACTCACAGGTGTCAGGGTTCTCCTTCATTCTGGAGTCACTCCTGTGCAGGTGCACACACAGGCATGTGCAACACACACACACA
The DNA here is from genome assembly GCF_000001405.40 of Homo sapiens. Lineage (NCBI taxonomy): Eukaryota > Metazoa > Chordata > Mammalia > Primates > Hominidae > Homo > Homo sapiens. The sequence goes on along the minus strand of NC_000010.11, from coordinate 86,357,634 downwards.
TGCATGCATATACTCAGGCACACACACATCCACCTGTACTCAAGAGCACACACACGTGCACATATGCATGAGGGCACACACACTTTCTCATTTTATAGACTACACTCCAGCACCACCCACTTCCTCAAATTTTGGGTTCAAGAGGCTCCCTTCATTCCTTATTGCCATGGCTTAGCCCTCTAGATTGGGAGGTTGGACTTAACTGGCAGTGAGCAGATGGATACCTTATGCCAGGCGTGTGGGAGAGGCCACGGGTCATACTGCCTCTGAGCTGCTGCTGTTCCTAGTCCTGGGCTGGCCTGTGACAGCCCCTTCCTCTGGGATACTGTCCTTTCTGACAGGCATTGGGCCCAGGAAGGCAGCTGGGTCTGTGTCCAACATCTCAGCTAGGCTCTCTGAGCCCTCCCTCCCAGCCTGGAAACAGCCAGTTTCCTGGCCAATGGCCATGGTTGAGAAAGAAGAACCCAGAGTTCCCCTTCTGGACCTGAGGTGTGGGCAGGGTGGACTGGAGGGGATGAGGTGGCCCCTTTTGTTTCTAGGTCTAGGACATGAGTACTTTGACAATTTTCCTCCTGGAGCCATTTCTCCAGGTTTCTCTTGGGGGCCAGCTAAGGCTGTCCCTCAGCACTCACAGTCACCTCTTGTAATGGCAGACAGACTCTCTTTCCCAATTCTTGTAGCTGCGAGGTTGAAATCCTCTAGCTTTGTCCTCATAGCAGCTGTCTTCCCTCTTCACTGAGCCTTCTACTGCCCAGGAAATGCTGTCGCCTAACAACTCAGAGCATCCCTTCTGCCCTGCCTCTTCCCAGATAATTTCTAACCCATTCCATCCCTGGATGTGATTCTTTTTACACTTGGTTACCCATGGCTGTGCCTGTGGGTCTCCACCCTTTGGTTTTGTTCTGTGTTTCCCGTTGTATGAGTCAGGGGAGACTAAGTTATGCTGCAGTAACAAACAATCCAAAACTCCCAGCAGCTTTCATGACACAGTATTTCCTCCTCCTGCTGTGTGTCCATTGCCGGTCAGTGGGGAGCTTGGTCCCTCATGGTCACTTCACTTGGTTGTTGCCAGTTGCTGTGCCAGAGGGAAAGAGAGCTCTGGGGGGCTCAGCCTGGATGTGCTCACATCACTTCTGCTTATGACTCGTTGGCCACAACCAGCCATGTGGCCACAGCCAGTCACAAGGGATCCAGGAAGCACAGCCCTACTATGTGCCTGGAAGCAGAGAGAACTGGAAACAACTGGTGAGCAACAGAATTGCCTCTTTACCATTCATGGCTAAACAGCCCTCCTATTTCCTTGGCGTTTCATTAAAATAACAGCAACAAACAAAAAGCAAAAAACAGTTTTGGGTACGGGATGCTAGTTGGGCAGAATCTGTGGCTCCCATTGATACCCCACTGTGTACTCAGCGACTTGTCCCTCCTCTGCAGACCTCTGGGCAGCCCTTCCATGTGCTGGGAAGTTAGGAAGCCTGGGTCCCCAGCCTAGGCTGGGGTTGCACCTCTGCTTTTCTCCATGTCTGCCAATCTTGTGCTCTGTAAACTAGTGCCTGGACAAGCCCAGCTCTCAGGACCATTGAGCTAGTCATGAGGTAAAGATTGGGTTCTCTGCCCAGCCACCGACAGGACCAGCACCCATGACCTCCCCCTGTCCCCGTAGCTGGACTTTGGCAAGTCTGCACTTTCCACGGCTTCAGCCCTGTGGCCCTGTCCCTCATATAGACTCCCACGTCTTGCCCCTGCTGCCCCACGAAGTGGCAGCCCTCTCCTGCTAATGGCAGTGGGCTGGGGCAGAGACCACGCATCTCTCTGCCATTGCTGGCCTGTGACAGCCCCTTTCTCTGGGGTGCTGCCCTCTCTGACAGGCACTGGGCCCAGGAAGACAGCTGGGTCTGTGTCCAACAACTCAGCTAGACTCTCTGAGCCCTTCCTCCCAGCCTGTAAACAGCCAGTTTCCTGGCAGATGGCCACGGTTGAAGAAAGGAGAACCCAGAGTTCCCCTTTCTGGGCCTGAGGTGTGGGCAGAGTGGTCTGGAGGGTATGAGATGCCCCTTCCGTTTCTAGGTCCAAGCTGTAGGCAGTGTAGGTTACCAGTGGGTGAGGTGGGGGGTGTTAGCTGGGGGACTAGGGTGGTCCTGAGCCCAGGCTGCCCCTTCTCCTCCACCCAGGTGTGGGACATGTGGCCCTGATGGCCCCATCTTTCCAGTTTTCCCTCACACTCATCCCTCAACAGACCCTAGATGAGGCAGCTGGGCTCTGAGACTGCATCTCCACCTGGCCCACCCTGGTCCCCCACTGTGCTCAGCCTGGCCCTTCCCCATGCCTCCACTGGAGCATCCGTGGGGTGTCCAGGAGCTGAAGAGGCGGGAGTGTGGTGGCTGTCTCACACAGACTGGGGCTCCCACCCCTGCTCTG